>NW_014040927.1:0-212205 GCF_000001405.40 Homo sapiens | reverse complement strand
GAATTCTCTACCCAACCAAGTGGCCATTTATGTCCATGGCAACATAGATATATTCTCAATTATGCAGAAGTTTAAATGTAATGCAAATATGTGCTGCTTTTCTTTAGCAAACTTATTTTATTTTATTCCATTGAATTTCACTAAAGGAGATACAGATGTGCATAATTATGTTAATTTACACATGATAATATACATTAAGACCATAAGAAAGCTGAGAAAATGCCTGCTCAGTCAAAAGGTCTTCCCGAGCAGGGGCTGAGGGTCTTGCACATGGCTGGATCCACACACAATCTGAGTCATAGGAGGCATTGAAGGCACTGAAGGATGGGCTTGATGTACTTGGAACAGCTCAGTCACCTGTTTTGATGCAGGGCCTGTTGCAGGTGTGATGACTAGAGCGGGGATCATGAGTGCTAAAGGAATTTGCCAAGGCAGTCATAGGTTTAAAAAAAAAAAAGCAGATTTATTAGAAGGAAAGTATGTTGCAAGGAAGCAACGGGCAGCACAGCAGAAAAGGGACTGTCTCCAAAAAGGCAGGGGCTGGAAGGAAGCTTTATAGGGTCATGCTGGAGGGGGTTCGTGCAGTTACAGTCCTGCTGCTGGGGCTACGTGCAGAGTGAGGGAACAGGATGTTGTGCAAGGGCCTGTTTGTGGTTAGCCGTCTCTCAGAACAATTGTTCTCCCCAACCTGGGACCCCTTCCTCATTGTTGCTTATTTATCAGGATTCCACAGAGCCCAAATCAATATTATAGAAATGGGATCGGGTGAGACAATCCATGTATCACCTATGAATAGACTCAAAAGAATTGGAAGTAGGGTCTTGAAGAGAGATCTGTACATCCATATTAATAGCAGTTTATTCACAATAGCCAAGGCATAGAAGCTACCTAAATGTCTATCAACAGATAAATGGATAAACAAAATGTAGTGTATACTTAAAACAGAAAATTATTCAGCCTTAAACAGGAAGGAAACTCAGACATGTGGGACAACATGAATGAACCTTGAGGACACTATGCTAAGAGAAATAAGCCAGGCACAAAAAGACAAAATATTGTGTTCCACCTATATGAGGTACCTAGAGGAGTCAAATTCATAGAAACAGACAGGAGAATGGTGTTCTCCAGGGCCTGGGGGAAGGAGAGAATGGAGGGTTGTTTAATGGAAACAGAGTTTCAGTTTTGCAAGTTCTGGAGACGGATGGTACTGATAGTTGCACAAGAATGTGAAAATACTTAATACTACTGAACTATATACTTAAAAATAGTTAAGACGATGCATTTGATGTCATGTATGTTTTATAGAAATACACATATATGTGTATATATGTACACATATATTTGTATAAACATATAGTCCTATAATTAAACATTTTTTTATGCCGGGTGCAGTGGCTCAAGTCTGTAATCCTGGCACTTTGGGAGGCCAAGGTGGGAGAATTGCTTGAGCTCAGGAGTTTGAGACCAGTCTGGGAAACATAGCGAGACCACATCTCTACTAAATTTTTTTTTTTTAATTAGCTGGACATGGTGGTATGTGCCTACTTAGGAGGCTGAGGTGGGAGGATCACTTGAGCCCAGAAGACAGAGGCTGCTTTGAGTTATGATCTCACCACTGCACTCCAGCCAGGGCAACAGAGCAAGACTTTATTTCAATAATAATAATAATACTTTAAAAAAACTGCTTTCAAGACAAAGTTATCTCCAAATCCAGCTTCCATCGCTATAGAGCATTCAGAACCAACAAGTCTTCGTGCTGTTGGACCTGCTGTGCTAGAGGGCTTCATGTCCATCAGATGAATATTAGCATTCCCTCTGAGTCTGTATGAGACTGGGCTTGATGCATCCTTCATAGCACTTGTCAAGGCACCACTCACACCCAGATCTTCAGCACTGGTAGCATCCCCGTTCTCATTAGATAGCACCGCCATTTTCCTCAGTCTCTCCTATCTTTTAGAGCAGCGGTCCCCACCCTTTTTGGCACTAGGAACTGGTTTCATGGGAGACAGTTTTTCCACAGGTCATGGGGGACGGTTTGGGGATGATTCAAGCATTACATTTATTATGCACTTTATTGCTATTATTATTACATACTCACCATAATGTAGAATCAGTGGAAGCCCTAAGCTTGTTTTCCTGCAACTAGACAGGACAGGTGTTGGGAGACAGTGACAGATCATCAGGCATTAGGTTCTCATAAGGAGCATGCAAGCTAGATTCCTTGCATGCGCAGTTGACAATAGGGTTCACGCTCCTATGGGAATCTAAGGCCTCCGCTGATCTGACAGGAGGCGGAGCTCAGGCGGTAATGCTCACTCGCTGGCCGCTCACCTCCTGCTGTGCAGCCTGCTTCCTAACAGGCCATGGACTGGTACTGGTCCCTGGCAGGGGGTTGGAGACCCCTGTTTAGAGCACTGTTGAAAGACAGAACACTCACGATTTCACTCACCATGGAGACATCAGTGTGAGTCACCACTCTCCAAAGGTGATCTGCCTCCAAAGTCTATCACTGGGATTCAAATGCTCTCTGCCAAGTTATAGTTTCTGGGTCAATATTCAGTCCTAGAATTCTGCTCAATTCTTTATCAGTGTGATAGAGTCAGATTCTCAATTCTCACTCTTAATAGCCTTCAGATTTGGGTATCAGACAACTTTCTTACTCCATTGACTGAAGATACCAAATGGTAAAAGGGACCTCTGTCCCTCTGTGTCAGCTCATGGAATGCACAAACATCAGCAGCTGCCCCAAAAAGAACACTAGGTCACCTGTGAGGCTGATGATGAACTCCATAGGAACGACTGGGCAGTCTACTGCCTCGTATTTCAAAAGTTCCACCCTGAGAAGCTGTCAAACCTAAGCAAACCTAAGTAGGCACATACCACCATGTCCAGCTAATTGAAAAAAAATTTAATAGAGACGGGGGTCTCGCTATGTTTGCCAGACTGCTCTCAACTCCTGAGCTCAAGCAATTCTCTCACCTTGGGAGCCTGACGAAGAGCTTGCACCAGCCCATTGTGGTTGTTCTTTATTCCCAGGACCTTTGGGGATCTTCTAGTCACTGCCATATTGTGTTTTTTGTTGTTGTTGCTTGTTTGTTTGTTTTTTGAAACAGAGTCTCACTCTGTCACAAGCCCAGGCTAGAGTGCAGTGGCACGATCTCGGCTCACTGCAGCCTCCTCCTCCTGGGTTCAAGTGATTCTCCTGCATCAGCCTCCTGAGTAGTTGGGATTACAGGCGCCCATCACCACCATGCCCGGCTAATTTTTGTATTTTTAGTAGAGATGGGGTTTCACCATGTTGGCCAGGCTGGTTTCGAACTCCTGACCTCAGGTGATCCGCCCACCTCGGCCTCCCAAATTGCTGGGATTACAGGCATGCCACTGCGCTGGGCCAACTGCCACCCTCTTTCTTTAGCCTCTGACTTGCTCAGAGACGACCTTCCTGTTCAGGATTCTTGCCAGCACCATGGCCCGAGTGGTCTCCTGCCTCCTCTGGACTCTGCACATACATGTGTGTAACATGGGATCCAGCCAGCTGACTGAATCGAAATAACTTCCACACGGGGATGGCATGGTAGGAAAGAAGTTGCAGGGTTATTCAATCAATGTAAACTTAGAATTAAGAATAACTGGCTGGGCGCTGTGGCTCACGCCTGTAATCCCAGCATTTTGGGAGGCCAAGGTGGGCGGATCACAGGTCAAGAGATCAAGACCATCCTGGCCAACATGGTGAAACCCCATCTCTACTAAGAATACCAAAATAAGCCGGGCGTGGAGGCACACGCCTGTGGTCCCAGCTACTCGGGGGGCTGAGGCAGAAGAATCGCTTGAACCCGGGAGGCAGAGGTTGCAGTGAGCTGAGATTGTGCCACTGCACTCCAGCCTGGGCAACAGAGCTAGACTCTGTCTAAAAAAAATAATAATAACTATGATGACCACTCTTAAAAAAATGTAATTTTTATCATTCTTCTCAGAAATCTATATGATGTAAAAATAAATATTTGTCAGTAGTAGACTATGACAATCCTAGAAAATACTTACATTAAAATAGGGGAGGGAGAAGAGAGGAGAGTATAAATATGGCAACCTGTCAGTCCAAGAGTCTTTATTACAAATAACAGAAGCTTACCCTGGCTGAGTAAACATAAAAGGAATTTAGTTAGTTGGTTAGTTTCAACTTTAATTTTAGTTTCAAGGGGTACATGTGCAAGTTTGTTAAGTGGGTAAATTGGATGTCAGTAGGGTTTGGTGCACCAGTGATTTCATCCCCCAGGTAGTCAGCATAGTACCCAACAGGTAGTTTTTCAGCCCTTACCTTCCTCCCCCCATCACCCCTCAAGTAGTGTGTCTCTCGTTCCTGGTGTCTCCTATTCCCATCTTTGTGACCATGTGTACTCAATATTTAGCTCCCAGTTATAAATGAGAACGTGTGGCATTTGGTTTTCTGTTCCTGCATTAATTCAATTAGGATAATGGCCGCCAGCTGTATTCATACTGCTGCAAAGGACACAATTTCATTCATTTTTATAGCTGCATTGTATTTCATGGTGTATATATACTACATTTTCTTATCCAGTCCACTGTTGGTAAGCATCTAGGTTGATTATAAAAGGAATTTATTAAAGGGATTTTGAATAGCTTATAAAATTGCTGGAAAGTCTAGAGAAGTGGGCTTAAGATTCATCTTCTGGGAACAGCACTCAAAACCACACTGCAGAACAGTCTGAGGAAGGAACTGCTGCAATCACCACCCAGCACTACATGCTACAGTTTATACCACTATCACTCTGAGCCAGGAACTCAACCTTCTAGTCAGGACCACTGCCACCAGAACAAAAGCTCCTAATGTCTTTTCCCTCAGATCATTCACCAAAGTCTGGCACATGTGTGTCAGATAGACAGAAACAAAGTCACATGTGCCAAGTTGCAAGATTCTGGGAAGGTGAGTATTTAACATTTTCAGATCTATTAAGAGAAATAATTGTTTCCCCACACGAGGACTCATAAAGTAGATCATTCCTCCAACCAGAGAAGGGGTTCAGTTGCTGGGGGAAAACATGCATGATAATTGTCCAGTATAGCCAATTTCCTCATATTTCATAGATGTGAATCAATCAATATAACTTCATTTCTGAAATTGATTAACATTATAAACATATTAAGGCTATAAAGATAAAACGCTTTTTTTTTTTTTTTTTTTTTTTTTTTTTGAGACAGTTTCACTCTGTTGTCCAGGCTGGAATGCCGTGGGGCGATCTCTGCTCACTGCAACCTCTGCCTCTGGGTTCAAGCAATCCCAAGTAGCTGGGACTACAGGTGCGCACCGCTACGCCCGGCTAATTTTTGTAATTTTAGTAGAGATGGGGTTTCACTATGTTGGCCAGGCTGGTCTCAAACTCCTGACCTTAAGTGACCCGCCCACCTCAGCCTCCCAAAGTGCTGGGATTACAGGCATGAGCCATCACGCCTGGCCTATACTTCTTAATTACTGGAGTACAAGAAATAAAGACCATGGAACATCAACAGAAAACAAAAGAGAATGTAAAAGTTTCAAAAGACAAAATAAGACAGCAGAAACAATACCAAATACATCTATCTTAATAATAAGTGTTAAGTGGGAAAACTAATTTAGATTATCAGATTTAACCTTTAAAAAGAATATATTTTGCATTAGACATAGACCTAAAATAAAGTGACTCAGGTTGAATGTAAAAAGATGGGCAAAAATATATCAGATATATTCAATATGCACAAGATCTATATGAGGAAAACTACAAAACTCTGAGGAAAAAATCAAACATCTAAATAAATGGAGAGATAGTCCATGTTCATGGATAAGAAGACTCAATATAGTTAAAATAGCAGTTTTTCCCAACTTGATCTGTAGATTCAATGTGATCCCAATCAGAATCCCAGCAAATTTTCTTCTTTTTTTTTTTTCTTTTTTTTTTTTTCTTTTTTTTTTTCTTGAGACAGAGCCTTGCTCTGTTGCCCAAGCTGGAGTGCAGTGGTGCCATCTTGGCTCTCTGCAACCTCTGCCTCCCAGATTCAAGCAACTCTCCTGCCTCAGCCTCCTGAGTAGTTGGGATTACAGGCCCACCATGCCCAGCAGCTAATTTTTGTATTTTTAGTAGAGATGGGGTTTCGCCATATTGGCCAGGCTGGTCTTGAACTCCTGACCTCAAGTGATCCACCTGCCTCGACCTCCCAAAGTGCTGGGATTACAGGCATGAGCTGCTGTGCCCCACCCCAAAATCCCAGCAAATCTTATCTTGTGGATATTGACAAAATGATTTTAAAGTTTATATGGAAAGCCAAAAGACCCAGAATAGCCAATAAAATACTGAAGGAGAAGAACAAAGTTGGAGAACCGACACTACCTGACTGAAAGACTTACTATAAAACTACAGTAATTAAGACAATGTGGTATTGGTGAAAGAGTAGACGTGTAGGTCAGTGGAACAGAATAGAGAGCCCCAAAATAGACCCATGTAAATATAGCCAGCTGATCTTTGACAAAGGTGCAAAGCCAATACCATGAAGCAAAGATAGTCTTTTCAACAAATACTGTAAGAACAACTGAACATCCACATGCAGAAAATGAATCTAGACACAGACCTTTTACATTTTATAAAAATTAACTCAAAATAAATTATAGACATAAATATAAAAGAGTACACTACAGAACTTCTAGAAGATGACATAGGAAATCTAAGTGACCTTGGGTTTGGCAAAGAGTTTTTAGATACAACAGCAAAAGCACAATCCATCAAAGAAAAAAGTAGACAAGCTAGATTACAGTAAAATTTAAGACTTCAGTGAAAAGCACTGTTAAGGGAATGAACACAAGCCACACGCTGGGAGAAAATATTTGTCAAACACATGCCTGATAAAAGACTTGTATCCAAAATATATAAAGGGCCAAGTGCGGTGGCTCTCGCCTGTAATCCCAGCACGTTGGGAGGCTGAGGCAGGCAGATCACCTGAGGTCAGGAGTTTGAAACCAGCCTGGCCAATATGGTGAAACCCCATCTCTACTAAAAATACAAAAATTAGCTAGGCATGGTGGCAGGTGCCTGCAATCCCAGCCACTCAGGAAGCTGAGGTGGGAGATCACTTGAACCCCAGAGGTGGAGGTTGCACCACTGCAGTCCAGCCGGGTGGCAGAGCAAGACTCGTCTAGAAAAAAAAAATGTATATATATAGAGAGAGAGAGCGCGAGCGCGTGCAAGAGAGCAAGAGAGAGAGAACCCTTAAAACACAACAATGAGAAAACAACCAACCACATTAAAAAATGGGCAAAATGGCCGGGCGCGGTGGCTCACACCTGTAATCCCAACACTTTGGGAGGCCGAGGTGGGCGGATCACGAGGTCAGGAGATCGAGACCATGCTGGCTAACACGGTGAAACCCCGTCTCTACTAAAAATACAAAAAATTAGCCGGCCGTGGTGGCAGGCGCCTGTAGTCCCAGCTACTCGGGAGGCTGAGGCAGGAGAATGTCTTGAACCCGTGAGGTGGAGCTTGCAGTGAGCCGAGATGGCGCCACTGCACTGCAGCCTGGCGACAGAGTGAGACTCCGTCTCAAAAGAAAAAAGAAAAGGGCAAAATTTCTGATCAGACACATCACAAAAGATGACATACAAATGGAAAATAAGCGTATGAAAACATGTTCAACATCATGTCACTAGAGAATTACAAATTAAAACAATAAGATACCACTACACACCTATTAGAATGGCTAAAATCCAAAAATCTGGCCATATTGAGGAAAGGTTATTAGGATGAGCAGTTCTAGAACTGGGATCAGATAAAAGGGGAAAATGCTTCGGATTAAATGAAAGAGTAGAACATGAGTAGTAGAAGAAGAAAATGAAAGTTGCACTTAGAAAGGGATCTCTTCTATTCATGGGGATGATCTGGTCAGGGCCATTGTGGGCATCCAATGCCCTAATAATTTCTGAGAAACTTCTTCGTGTCTGTTTCTCAAGTATCTTCTCTGTCCTACTAGAAAGTAGCCAAATGAATAATGGATTAATAACCCCATGTGCTTATGTTTCAGTTGGCTTGTGCTGCTGTAACAGAATACCACAGACTGGGTAATTTATGATGCACAGAAATTTATTAACTCATAGTTCTGGGGGCTGGGAAAGGGCTACCTCTGGTGAGGGGCTACTTGCAGTGTCACCCCACAGCAGATGGCGGAAGGGCAAGGAGAGAGGCAGAGAGAGAAAAAAGGGGCCAAACCCATCCTTTTATAAGGAGCCCATTCCCATGATAACAGCATTAATCCATTCATGAGAACAGAGCCCTCATCACCTAATAACTTCTCATTAGGCCTCACCTCCTAACATGCTCGCATTGTTTCCAGAACATGCTTTTGGGAGACAGCACTTTCAAACCACGGCAATATATGATGGCATCCATTTAGCCACAAACCAGCAGGTGTTGCCGTTCTCGTTTACAGGAGTCAAAGCTGAGTGCCTGGAGTGTCCATCTTATCCAGCATGGCAAACTTGCAAAGTGATGGAATTATGGATTTCTTTTTGGAAATTTGGGAAATATCAAAACTGAGAGATAGTCAGTCAGATGGGACAAACACTGACCTGTTGAACGGGCTTGGTTAAGTCAAGGTCCAGGGTGGATCTAGGTCAATCATATTCTAAACAAGTGAGGGCTTTGATATTCCTGTGCTGAAGGCCATGTCAGAACAACTCTTACTTAAGTTAATTTGGTGATATTACAACTCTCTTTCAAGCATCTTAGATTTAGCTCCCAATGTGCAATCAACTTTTGATGTGGAAAAAAAGCCTATGCTGAAAGTAGTTAACAGTGGCTAGTCTGCTGCTATGGACATTTGACTTAAGGGTTCAGAGACGGACTCTGTTGAATTATTCTTTTATTCACACATATCACCCACCCTCCTCTCTCTGGTTTCCACCTTCAGGTATAACCTAACCCACTCTAAGCTTGATGTTGCCTGTGGCCTAGGACCCACCCACAGGGCGGAAGCCTCTCCCCACACAGGCCATCCGCCAACAAGTAAGAATTGCCCACACTGACCAGGAATAGTACGAAGTAGTTACTGGGATCCTCTGAAAGCCATAATATGAAAGTATCTAGAGACTGCCCTTAGGAACTGGTGTGTGGGTCTCAAATACTTCCCAATGTTAGGAGAAAAAAAAAAGCACAAGAGTTCACCCTGCAGTGCTTTCTGAGAATTTAAAGGTGAGGTATATACCTGTAATGTCCCCAGGATCCCACTGAGGATAAGCAGTATATGATATCTTCTAGTGGAGTGTGCACCAAATTTCACCGTGTAAAAATATACCATTATAGACCTTGTAAAATATACCGTTACACCATGCTGGCTGCAACCTGGCTGTACCATTAACTGTAATCCTGCTTTGTTTTCTTGGAGTAGGAGAAACAGGCAAAGCCAACCAAGATGCTTTTGATTCCCAGTAGTACTGTTAAATAGACCAGCGTTGCTTAGAAATAGGTGTGGGTCTGTCTACTTCAGATGCAAAGGATAAATGCAGTGGGTGTCACAGCCACAATAATAATTATGTCATCTGTCTTGTCATGGAATGTGACTATAGTAATTGCGGCATTTTCTCCCATCATTGAAGCTTGTAATTATAGTGCAACTAACAGGATTACGTGCTAACTTGGGCTGCCTTAATCACCTCTTTTACTCTGAAATGTGATGGTAAAATTCCACAGTTGTTCCCAAGCTACCAATTCTTTTCAACATCTGTTGTCTTGTAACTCTAACAGTTCAATACTAAGACGGGGAGGCACAGAGATGCTCCAGGCATTTCATCACAGTGAACTTGAGGGAAAGCCGAATTCAGGCTTGATGAGAAAGGATACACAGTAAAGGAATTTGCAATTTTCTACCAGAATAAGATTTTCTCTTTGAAAGCAAATTGTCTACTTTATGTTCCAAAGATGGCAGATGTTTAATGGGATCTGGCGTTGTCTGCAACCCCTATTTGGTACGTGTTGAAGGAAACCTCCAACCATAAACATCAATCTAGGGCTGATTAAGAAAACTCTCCCTCTCAGCGGAAGGAGCAGACTCAGGTTAATTAATACCTGGATACTGAGCTATTTGTTGGGACGCCACCTTTCATGTGTCAGGCTCATTTAGACGGTCATTACCTATATTTATCTTTTCAGATCACATTAACAATAAACTTCAGGGGTTACCCAAGATACTTTGGTTATAAAGGTTATATAGGACTCTGGACGCTATGTGAAAAGACGGGGTGATGAAGGTGGAAAACTCCCTTGACTATTTTGCTGTAAGATGACTTATGCTGTATTAGATGCAGCTGTGCGTAAGTGGGCCATTCTTCACAGTGTTACATTTCAGTAATTCTGAGTGCACCTAGGAAATTAATGTTTCACGGAACCAACCCAGATCCACACATTCGGGCTTAAACTGAGCACTTCTTGATCGGCAGTAATACTGGCTTCATTGTGTGTGCATTCCTGTTGTATGGGTGCACAGACAGGACTCAGCAAGCCAGAGGAGTGGTTATAACTCAGCAAACGCAACTGTGATCTTAAAGCAACAAAAGGAGGCAATCTAAGAACAACTCGTTTTCTTGCAAGAAAAATTGTGGCATCAGGTACAGTATCACCTTTGGGAGGTGAGAGAAAAATTCCTAGGTGAGACCTGCTTAGACCTGGCAAGGCCAGACCATTAATAGCATAATTGTTAGGGTGTTGCAGACACTGGGCTGTAAGGGAAGAAGTTACTCTGCTATGGAGTGGAACATGGGCCCAACCTGACTTCTCCTCGACTGAGCTGTCCCCCGAAGCCCCGACATTTTTTGAGCCCACTCCTTTAATGCTTGGTCATGATGTACAGGATGTACTGGTTGATAGTGCAGCTTCCCCAGTGAGGCGCCCCCTTGAGGTTGCTCCTAGAGAATTAAAAGAGTCGAACTGGCCCATGATGGATGTTGATAACCACCGGGACAGGTAAACTGATCAATGGGAAGAGAGCTATCGTGACAGTTTAGCCAGCCAACTTCTGACCAGCTGGATTGTATGTGTAGACAGAAGGGGATTGGCGGGTCACAGCCTAGAGGAAGGGGTGTCTTGGAGACCACAGTGGCTGTGTCCATCCTGTACTTCTCAGGGCCGGGGGGAAAGGGGGTGAGTCCCAGCTGAGGACACCTCCTGTCTCTAGGTTAAACGAAATGACCTAAGACACTCTAGGTGGGAGACTCTCCTTCTTCTGGTCCTGTGAGCTCCCAGGTAGTTGAACCACAAGGATCTCTCCTCGTGTGCACTGGATGGATGGGCAGGTGAGAATGTTCCAGGCCACTTGAGAATTACGGGTCTCATTGTCAATTAACAAAGCAGCTGCTGTAGTATAGCGGCTGAGTATAGATTCTGTATACAGTGTAGATTATAGATTCTGTATCGAGTGTAGATTCTGTGTAGTATAAAACGGGTCCCCAACCGCCGGGCCATGGACCAGTACCAGTCTGTGGCCTGTTAGGAACCGGGCCGCACAGCAGGAAGTGAGCAGCGGGTGAGCAAGCAAAGCTTCATCTGTATTTACAGGTGCTCCCCATTGGTTGCATTACCGCTTGAGCTCTGCCTCCTGTGAGATCAGCAGCGGCATTAGATTCTTACAGGAGCACAAACCCAATTGTGAACTGCGCGTGTGAGGGATCTAGGTTGCAAGCTCCTTATGAGAATCCTGTGTCTGATTATCTGTCACTGTCTCCCATCACCTCCAAATGGGACCATCTAGTTGCAGAAAAACAAGCTCAGGCCTCCCATTGATTCTGCATTATGGTGAATTGTATATAATTATTTCATTATGTATTACAATGTAATAATAACAGAAATAAAGTGTACGATAAATCTAATGCACTTGAATCCTCCTGAAACCATCCCCCCACCCCCAGTTCATGGAAAAACTGTCTTCCACGAAACCACTCCCTCGTGCCGAAAACGTTGGGGACGGCTGTAGTACAGTACAGCTTAGCTTCAAATTCTGGCTGTCTCTTTTTTTTTTTTTTTTTTTTTTGAGACAGAGTCTCACTCTGTCGCCAGGCTGGAGTGCAGTGGCGCGACCTCAGCTCACTGCAACCTCTGACTCCCTGGTTCAAGCAATTCTCCTGCCTCAGCCTCCCGAGTAGCTGGGATTACAGGCATGGGCCACCACGCCCAGCTAAATTTTGTATTTTTAGTAGAGACGGGGTTTCACCATGTTGGCCAGGATGTTCTTGAGCTCCTGATTTTGTGATCTGCCTGCCTCGGCCCCCCAAAGTGCTGGGATTACAGTCCGTGAGCCACCGTGCCCGGCCCTGGTTTCCTCTCTTAATAGATGGGTGACCTTCTTAACCTTTGTGCCTCAGTTTCCTCATCTGTAAAGTGGCTTTAAGATAATACTTATCATGTGTACTTGAAAATTGCTTGCCAGACTCAGAGGCTCATGCCTGTAATCCCAGCACTTTGAGAGGCCGAGGCGGGCAGATCACCTGAGGTCAGGAGTTCGAGACCAGCCCGGCCAACATGGAGAAACCCCATCTCTACCAAAAATTTAAAAATTAGCCAGGCATGGTGGCAGGAGCCTGTAACCCCAGCTACTAGAAGGCTGAGGCAGGAAAACTGTTTGAAACCAGGAGGCAGAGGTTACAGTGAGCTGAGATCGCCCTACTGCACTCCAGTCTGGATGGCAGAGTGAGACTCCATCTCAAAAGAAAAAAGAAAATTGCTAAAAGAGTAAATTTTATGTTTTTAACCACAAAAAAAGTATGTGAGGTAATAGATATGTCAGTTAGCTTGATTTAGCCATTCTATAATGTATACACGTATCAAAACATCATGTTGTACACCATAAATATATTCCATTTTTATTTGTCAATTATAAATAAGGAATTCTACTTTTTTTTTTTTTTTTTAGAGACAGGGTCTTGCTCTGCCACCCAGGCTGGTGTGCAGTGGTGCGATCACAGCTCACTGCAGCCTTGAACTCCCGGACTCAAGCGATGTCCCTGCCTCAGCCTCCCAAGTAGCTGGGACTGCCGGTGTGCACTATCATGCCTGGCTAATTTTTTCATTTTATGGTAGAGTCTTGTTATGTTGCCCAGGCTAGAGTCGTACGTATAAGAAGAATTAAATGACATAATACATCTGATGCATGTAGCATAGTGCTGGCACCTGAGAAGCACTCAGTAAATGTAAATGTTAGCTTCTATTTGTATTATGGTTTTATCCAGCTGCCTCCTGAGCTTGTTTAATATGGGTCAGCCACAAGAGATGATCTATTCTGAGTGTGCCAGGAAATTGTGTTTCTGGGCCCAGAAGTCCAGTGATTGCCCTCTGAAGAAAGGGGGCAGATTCACCAAGGTGTCCTCTACTGTCTGGGACTGGACAGGTTGTCAGATGCCCCGTCTCCTGGCCTCTCATCATGGATCCACAGTGGCGTGCAAGTGTTCTTTTGTGACATTTCAGCACACATGGATTATTATAGTGACTTCATCATGTTTGAGATCACAGTGAGATCTTCTAGAGGGCAAAACTGTTGCCTTATTCTTTCTCTTGCATCCTCTGAATTAGCTAAAGGGTAGATAGTGAATACTTCCTTTCTGAATGACATAACGAGGATTATAGAGAATTCAGATGAAACTGGAGCATGTCCAAAAAAAATGAAGTAGATGGGAAAAGTGAAAACTAGAAAACTGGAGAGGGCATGATAGTCAGACGAGACGTTCTTTTTTTTTTTTTTTTTTTTTGAGATGGAGTTTCACTCTTGTTGCCCAGACTGGAGTGCAGTGGCACAATCTCAGCTCATTGCAACTTCCAACTCCCGAGTTCAAGCGATTCTCCTGCCTCAGCCTCCTGAGTAGCTGGGATTACAGGCACCCGCCACCACGCCTGGCTAATTTTTTGTATTTTTTGTAGAGACGGGGTTTCACCATGTTGGCCAGGCTGGTCTTGAACTCCTGACCTCAGGCGATCCACCCGCCTTGGCCTCCCAAAGTGCTGGGATTACAGGTGTGAGCCACTGCGTCCAGCCGAGCCATTCTTAAACGGAACTCCCAGAAGAGCTCACTGGAGTCAGGGGCCTAGACTTAGCAAACCCAAGAGGACAGTGGCTCCTAGAGGAGGAATGTGGTTGTTCCAACACTGCAGCCCTTGTGTGTGCTGCCCAGGCAGCAGTGAAGACCACTGCCCAGGGGTTGCCAGAGGGGTCAATGGATGAATTTAGTGGCTGTCCTAACATGGTGGCCATGAGGGAGACCCCAGACCTCAGCAGCTTCTGCATCTCTGGGCATGGTGAGAAGCCAGGAGTGGAAACTAAGGAGGTCATCACTCCAGCAGTTGGGGAGGGCACTTGGCTTTCCTTAGAAGGTGGCAGCAAGGGAGGGCTCAATCTCCCAAGTCCACCGGCTTTGAGTTGCAGCACTCACCATGTGATTCCATTCTCTTGTGTGTCCATCGCAGCCCTGTGGGCCTCAGAGTCCATTTCCTTAAGCCTGTGCTCCTGCTCCTTGTGATGGCTTCACAGGCCCCCCACAGGCTCAGTTTTCCCCTGAGCCTCACCCATCTGGGAAATTCCTATATGGGCGTCCTGTAACCCACTGCAAACTTCAAACACTCCTATTCAACTCAACATACACGTTTTTAGGATCTTAAATACTGACCATGCTATTAAAGGTAGAATCATAGACGTCTTAGAGTAAATTGGGACCTTAGAGCTCTCCAACGCTCCTGAATTTTACAAATGAGGGAAGTGAAGCTCAGAAAGGTTGAGCTGCTTACCCAAGGTCACACAGCTAGCTTACGGGCGGGGGTAGATCTAGAAGCCTGATGTTCACCGGAACTCATTTCTCCATGCCACATTCTTAACAAATGTAGGTTTTGTCAGGATTTAGACTAACTCATCTGCTAAACTTCAAGTTGATTTATTTGAGTGATGTGTTTAGTTGATTCATTGTATATCTCTGCTGGAATTATTTCTAGCCATTGCTAAAGCGGTTAGGTCTGAAAATCAGAAGAATCTCTGTAAAATGCTGAAAGATGAGCCAATTTTTAAAACCCAGAAGGGAATGTGTATGGCCTGTGTAGCTGGAGGCTTCTAAACATTTTTTTTCTTCATCTGTGGAACATTTTTATCATTCTGGGGAAGATTTAGACATTGAATGTACTAAAAGGATTTCATTTGACTGCTATGTATTTACCCCTGCCTGTAATCCGCTAATAAATACTCGCAGGCAGAACAGCCTAATTGGCAGGATGAGTTAATGCACAGGCCATTTATCTGCCAAGCACATGACACAGACCATGAACAAAATAAGCTGGTAACTGCCTCTCCCTCTTAGCAAATGCTTGTCCGCACCCCGCCCTCTCCCAACCTGCTCTTCCTCTGGCCTTGAGCTTGGGGACAGTTTGATGCACAACTGCCATGCGCCAGCAGGCTTCAGATAAGCCTGGAAAGAAATGGAATGGAAAGAACTTTCTGGTCAGGAGCACCTCTCTCCGCAGGGAAGTGGCCACTCCAAGTTAAAACATGTGTGCTGGCTGGGCACGGTGGCTCATGCCTGTAATCCCAGCACTTTGGGAAGCCGAGGTGGGCAGATCACCTGAGGTCAGGAGTTTGAGACCAGCCTGGCCAACATAGTGAAACCCCATCTCTACTAAAAATACAAAAATTAGCTGGGCATGGTGAGTGCCTGTAATCTCAGCTACTTGGGAGACTGAGGCAGGAGCATCACTTGAACCCAGGAGATGGAGGTTGCAGTGAGCGGAGATCACGCCACCACACTCTAGCCTGGGCAACAGAGCGAGACTCTGCCTCAAAAAAAGAAATAAAAATGAAAAATGAATAAAAATAAAACGTGTGCTTATAAAATATAGCTAAATACAAGTTCTGTTGAGGAGGATGAAGTGTCTCTCTGTGTTGGTCACAAGAGTGGATTGCAATAAAACAACTAATAATGATAATAAATATGATCACACTGGCTTGGCCAGGGGCTGCCTTCTGCTTTAGTCTTCCAGAAACGGTTTAGCAAAGTCATTGTGAGACTACTGTCCTGGAACCTCCACTCCTCACCTACTCGAGAATATATCAAGGCTGTCTGGGCCTCCTGCCAGCCCTCAGTCCTGTCTCCATGCTGGCCTGCCATGCGAGGGCAGCCTCCCCTTCTTGGAGGCCCGCTTCGAACCAGTCTCCTAGATCTGCACAAACCCTCCCTCCAGCCTGGGCATGACCATGTTGTAGGCCGTGCACACAATACAGCCTACCCTAGGGCTTGTCCCCTCTGTACGTGGACACCTCTTCCCTGGACTCACTCTGCAAAGGGGCCTTTAACTGAGCACCTGTGCTCTGTGCCCTCACAGGTCTCCCAGGCAGCTGCGGACCTCCTGGCCTACTGTGAAGCTCACGTGCGGGAAGATCCTCTCATCATTCCAGTGCCTGCATCAGAAAACCCCTTTCGCGAGAAGAAGTTCTTTTGTACCATTCTCTAACTCCGTGTGTGATGAAAACGCCTCCTTTTCTGACCTTCAAAGTCCCCTGTAGAGACCATGCATGCTCTAAGCCTTAGGGAGTGAGACCAACACCCATCCCTGCCCAGCCAACAGTGGCCGGGGCTTGTCTTATGTTTCCATCTGTTTTCTTCGTGGCATTCAATTTCATTTTTTTCCTTTTCATTTTCATGTTATTTTCATTATTGGCAAAGAAAATCAAAATGTTTATAGCCAAATAACAAATGTGCCATGTAAAAGTAAGTCTGGACTTAAGAGTTTAAAATTTTTAAACATCAGTTTCCAAGTTTATATCATATTAATACATTTCAGTGGATAATTTATTTTAAAAAAAAAACTATGCCTAAATATCCCTTATTTGCAATATTCAGTATCAAATTAGAGCATTTTGACCAACTGAAACATATAACGTTTTCATCTCCTTTCCTGGAGAAAGCAGCTGCAGAGGTTCTGTATTTCCTGCATTTCCATCATCCTAGTAAAAAGACAACAACCCACAGGATTGGAATGGTTTTCTTTTGTTTTTTTTTTGTTGTTGTTGTTGTTTTGAGATGGAGTCTCGCTCTGTCACCCAGGCTGGAGTGCAATGGCGTGACCTCAGCTCACTGCGACCTCCACCTCCTGGGTTCAAGCGATTCTCCTGCCTCAGCCTCCTGAGTAGCTGGGATCATAGGCACGCGCCACCACACCCAGCTAATTTTTTGTATTTTTAGTAAAGACGGGGTTTCACCATGTTGGTCAGGCTGGTCTCAAACTCCTGACCTCGTGATCCACCCGCCTCGGCCTCCCAAAGCGCTGGGATTACAGGCGTGAGCCACCACACCCGGCCGTGGAATGGTTTTCTTAGCATATCCTCCTGGGGCCGTGGCGCCCCGGCTGTGGGCCGTGGTGGATGTCCCTTGTTTCAGTGGTCCTACAAAGGTAGATGGTGGGCGGACACCGAAGTCAACTTGACTGTAAAAGTACCCCATACCGTTGACGCGCTGTGGCAGACCTGTGGGTGCGGTCTCCCCTCTCCAAATGCCACCTCTTCCTGCTCCCTCCTCTTTTGGCTCCTACTCAGTAGTTCCATTGTGGGCTGCAGTAATATAAGGACCTGTTCTGGACACAGCACTGGGCCCGCTGGGGTTTTAGTAGGGCAGCCCCTTCCCTGCAGGAGTGAGGCATGGTGACAGCAGTCCCCTATGTGCCCCCAAGTCATCTGAGCATTGGTGTGCATTAAGGTACTCAATCTTCCAACAATAAATACCATAAGTGCATGTCTGTTTTATTTTATTTATTTATCTTTTTGAGACAGAGTCTTGCTCTGTCGCCCGGGCTGGAATGCAATGGCACAATCTCAGCTCACCGCAACCTCCACTCGCAGGTTCAAGTGATCCTCATGTCTCAGCCTCCCTAGTAGCTGGGATGACAAGCACACGCCAACATGCCTGGCTCATTTTTGTATTTTTAGTAGAGACGGGGTTTCACCATGTCGGCCAGGCTGGTCTCCAACTACTGGCCTCGAGTGATCTGCCCACCTTGGCCTCCCAAAGTGCTGGGATTGCAGGTGTGAGCCAGTGCACCCGGCCGTATGTCTTAGAGTGAGGGGAAACTGAGGCACAAAGCGTTTATGTAGTTTGCCCAAGGTTACACATGGTAAGCAGAAAAACTGGGATTTGAGGGCAGGCAGCCCGGCCCCAGAGTTCCCTTAGCCCCCTGAACTGTGCTACCTTCCAGGTCTACCTGTTTGCAGGTAGGGAGACCCACAAACTATCATAACTGCACACCGTGAAGCAAACACCTTTGTTGCAGTAACCCGTGGCACACTTCACTTCCCACATTCTCCAGGAGGAAGCCGTATTCTGGTAGTTTAAGGAAGGTGATTCATGGATGCCCCAAGGAAAGGCTAGACATCGATGAATTAGCTCTTGGATTGTCTAAGATCAACCTGAAGGTCCTACCTAAACCAAACTCATATGATCCCGATGAAAGAGGAGAATACACAGTGGGAGCAGAGCTCTTTGTGTAAGTTTGTTCTATTCTGTTTATTTGGAAACTGCCTCTCTCCCTAGTTCTGAAAGAGACTTGCTGTGTGATAGAGAACAGGCCATTTGTGCCTGAAATGTTCTAACCTGCAAATTGGGTTTAATGGTAATTATCCTGCCTTTCTGTCTGGGAGGAAACAGAGATGCTACATAGATGAAAGCTCTGATTATCATTTAAAACAAATAAATGTACTAAATGCCGTGGTATAATATAGGGAAGAATGGATGACTTCAAAGAGACCATGGTTCCGTTGGAGGCATAAAATTGCCTGCAAAGAGGCAAATGTAATTTCCAGACCAATTAATGACTTGCTGCCCTCGTAAATGGATTTAGGACATCTTTGTTCCTTGCTTCTTTTGTTAAAACTCATTCTTAGTTTCATTATCAGCTCACTAATAATACCAGTGTTGTTAAGATGCTCAAACTAGAGCAGAATTGTATGCTGGATGTGACGCTAGGACCTCAGATCCTTTGATAGTGCAGTTATGACCAGGATCTCTTTATTCTGTGCTTCACGTCAACATCATTAACCCGATGAAGCGAAGCACAAGTCATAAAGGCACATCAGAGAAGCCGAGAAAGCGGGGCCGTACAGAGAGCATCAAAATCAGGTCAGAAAAATGCTGCTTTCCTCTTCCACCAAACCTTCTCCCTGTTGTTTTTACATGCCCCGTCCCTCCAGATTCAGCCTCCGTTTTGTTCTCTCTCCTTTTCCTTTTCCTCCTCTCTTCCTTACCTTCCCCTGTGAGATGCTTTTCTGTCCTTTTACTGCACCTCTTCCAGACCTATGGCATTTGGGGACGGGTCACCCTTCCTAGAGTGATCCTGAATCCAGCTGCCTCTTCTTTTTTTGTTTTTGTTTTTGTTTTTGAGACAGAGTCTCTTTCTGTCGTCCAGGCTGGAGTGCAGTAGCGCAATCTTGGCTCACTGCAACCTCTGCCTCCTGGGTTCAAGCGATTCTTGTGCCTCAACCTCACGAGGAGCTGGGATTGCAGGCGCCCGCCACCACACCCGGCTAATTTTTGTATTTTTAGTAGAGACGGAGTTTCACCATGTTGGCCACGCTGGTCTTGAAGCCCAGACCTCAAGTGATCCGCCCGCCTTGGCCTCCCAAAGTGCTGGGATTACAGGCATGAGCCACCGCGCCTGGCCTAGTTCCCTCTTCTTAGATGGAGATTTCTGCACATGAGCTGTGAGATCCACAGACATGTCACTGAGCTCCCCCACTCTGTCAGTGGAAGATGAATGGAATAAAGCCTGCTTGCATTGTGGAGTGCAGCTGTGGGGACAGTTGTCATTTTTGTGTTTTCAGCTTAACTGTCCAGCATCTCCCCTCCCTTCCTACAGCAGGGACATCATGCCTTAGATATAAACTTAGTGGTGTGCAGTACCCACCGTGGAAGCTGAAGAAGGGAAGTATTTCCTGTCTCTCAGGCACACCCCGCTTCCAGCCCCATACCAGTCGGGAAGTGGTCATTGACCTGGGGTGGACTACCTGGACCCTTGCTTGGGGCTATGAGCCTGGAGAATGTGACACAAATGAAGGGATGCTGAGACTCATTTCAAGGAAGCCACCGTGGTCCGGGGTTGGTAGTCATACAGCAAGGCAGGTGGGTAGGGCTGGCAGGCTGCAGGGATGGTGTGTCCACTGGTAGCAATGTCCAGGGATGGCAGCGTCCTGGGAATGTCATTTCTGCTCCACTCCTTGGACTCGCTGAGCTGTCTCCGCCTCCACCTATCTTCCTACAGACCTCCCTTCTAGTTTTCTGTCAATTCTTTGAGCCAGCAAACTCCATCCAGTACATTCTTTCTTCTTTCATGAAAGAGCTTGAGTTGGATGTAAATATATATGACCTAACAATTCCACCCCTAGGTGTATACCCTACAGAAATGTGTACATGTGTTCATCCAGAGACATGCTCTAAATCTTCACAAAAACACTCTCCATAATAACCCCGAACAGGAAAGCACCCCAATGCCCATGTTGGCTGGATAAGCACATTAGGGTATATTCACACGATGGAATCCCAGACTGCAATGGGAATGAGCTGCAACTCCACCCCCAACTTGGAGTGTATTCACCAACCCTAGTGTTGAACGAGATAAGGCAAAAATGCACCATAGGATTCCATTTATATAAAGTTTAAAACCCAGCAAAATTCATCCATGCGGTTGCAAGTAGAGATCAGTCCTAAGAAGACAGTAACCAGAAGCGGGCATGAGGTGGTGCTTCTGGGGTGTTCTGTTTCTTGATCTGGTTGCCGGTTACCTGGGTGCTTTCCGTTTGTGAACATTCTTGGAGCTGTACACTTTTGATCTGGGCACTTTTCTGTGTGTATGTTATACTTCAATAAAAAGTTGGGCTTTGTGACTAGCAATCAAGAATCCTACTTTTTTGGCACTTTGCTCAAATTTTTACTCCTCTTTGGATATCATTAACATTACATTAATGATAACTAACATCGCTAGTGGGGCATTTTAAGAGCATGCTTGACATCATTTTAAAATACAAACTACGATCCTCGGCTATCTGGATGGAGAATAAGCCATCAGCACCACACAGGTAGGGCCCTGTGAACAAGATGCGCAAATGCTGTGGAAATTGTGTCTTTTGGGAAGACAGTGAGGAATCCCACTGCGAGTTCCCACTTGATGGCAGAGATGTTGTCCTCTCAGGCTCTCCTGCCTTCTGACCATCAGGAATGGATGGAGGAGATAGCCTGCTGCAAAACCCTATCATCAGACACCACCGTTGGGGAGGGAGCCGCAGCACAGGCCCCAGGGGGCTCTCCTATGACACCTCTGAATGCAAGCTCAGATGCCCAGGTCGCCCAGCCCGTAGGTATTAATACACTGGGGCCGGAATACTGATGGCCATGCCTTGCTCCTTCCACTCTGCTCACATCCCTGGGGGCTCTGGCCCTGCTTCTGAACCTCGGATTGTTTCTGAGCATCTCCCAGGGCGTCTCCCTTGTTCTCAGCTACCAAGCAGCCTCTGCCATCTCCCTGTGGCAGCTCTGACATGTTGAGTTCCAGGGCAATCACAGAGCAGCTTCACGCTGGGACCCCACGACCATGAGTCAAAAGGGCTTGCCTCTGATCCTGAGCTCCAGCCCCCATGGAAGTCAACTACTAATCTGTGAATTGTCAGCAGCCCCCCTGCTGCTGGGAGCCAGGGGAGGGAGCAAACCAAAGGGCAGAAGGAAGTTTGTTCTGGTGACTCTTCAGATTTGAGATGACAATAATAAGAGTAATAACAAGCAACATTGATCTGATGTCAGAGGCATGTGAACCAAAAACTCCATCTTGAATAGGGGCTGGGTAAAATGAGGCTGAAACCTACTGGGCTGCATTCCCAGGCGGTTAAGGCATTCTAAGTCACAGGATGAGATAGGAGGTCAGCACAAAATACAGGTTGTAAAGACCTTGCTGATAAAACAGTTTGCAGTAAAGAAGCTGGCTAAATCCTAGCAAAGCCAAGACGGCCGCAAGAGTGACCTCTCTGGTTGTCCTCAGTGCTACACTGCCGTCAGCACCGTGACAGTTTACAAATGCCATGGCAACATCAGGAAGTTACCCTATATGGTCTAAAAAGGGGAAGCATGAATAATCCACCCCTTGTTTAGCATATACTCAAGAAATAACCATAAAAATGGGCAACCAGCAGCCCTCGGGGCTGCTCTGTCTATGGAGTAGCCATTCTCTTATTCCTTTACTTTCTTAATAAAGCAAGTTTATTTCACTTTGCACTGTGGACTGGCCCTGAATTCTCTCTTGCATGAGATCCAAGAACCCTCTCTTGGGGTCTGGATTGGGACCTCTGTTCTTAACACTGAGAAGAACGTGGATGATAGCAATCCATTAGACAGAATTATTCACACTTACATCTCCTCAGCTCTTCGGGGGGTAAGACGCCAGATCATGGGCGGGTTTTTTTTGTTTTTTGTTTTTTGTTTCTTGAGATGGGATCTCGCCCTGTTGTGCAGGCCAGAGTGCAGTGACGCCATCACAGCTCACTGCAGCCTCGAGCTCCTGGGCTCAAGCAATCCTCCAGCCTCAGCCTCCTGAGTAGCTGGGACTACAGGTGCATGCCACCATGCCAGGCTAACTTTTTTTTATTTTTTTGTAGAGACAGGGTCTCACTATGTTGCCTGGGTTAGTCTCGAACTCCTGGGCTCAAGCAATCCTCCCACCTCTGCCTCCCAAGCACTGGGATTACAGGTGGGAGCCACCGTGCACTGCCATGGGCTGTTTTCATGAAAGATCAGAGGATGCCCTCTACTCCCCAGCTTCCAGCCACATCTCCTGGGTGGCGCACTGCTCCGCCGTCCCCAGGATGTAGGCCCAGAGCAGCAGAGGTGGAGGATGAGCTGGGCGTCTGCCCAGTTTTAATGCTTTTGTTGATGTGTGGACAAAACAGGGACACACTAGTACCATCCTGCATTCCATCTGGTTTCTAGGAAAACCCTCACAACTTGCTTCAGTTTCAGCTATACATAATTTACTAACTTGTAAATGTTCAAACCCACATACAATCATTAACCGCATGCTGGTATTGTAGCCACTTACTTCAAAGATTCACTAGTGACCCAGGGTGGCCTCCAAGGCCCTGCCTGCCCTGACTCCTACTTACTCTCCAGCGTCACTTTCACACCTCACTCCCCCTGAAAACCCTGTACTCCATCCACGCTGGTCATGATTCAAACCCACCTACTAGCCATGCTCCCTGCTGCCACAAGGCCTTTGCACCTGCAGCTTCCTCTGCCTGGCACACTCTTCCCTCCTCTCTTTGCCAGATGGACTTATTTGGTAGATCTTGACTCAAGCATCACTGAAGACTCAAGCCTTCTCTGACCTCTCTGACGAGGTCAAATCTATCTCTAGGTTCTTATTCACTGCGAGGCTCTCCTTTGAGACCCGTGTCATGGTTGCAGTTGTACACTTGTGTAAGTGATGACTCAAGGAAGATCTGTCTCCCCCACAATGCCATAAACCCTCTGAGAGCCGGGGTTCTAGGTGTGAAAGGAAAAGAAATCTCCCCGAAATCACTAAGCCAGAGGGAAGGGTCAAGCTGGGAACTGCCTTGGGCAAACCTGCCTCCCACTCTATTCCTAAGTAAGATAGCTACATACCCACCCCACCCTCCACCACCACCACCCCCGCAAGCCCCGCACTCCCTCACAATTTGCCCATGAGGAAATTCCTTGCAGACAAAGGACAGGCAGAAGTCAAAGTCATCCCTCTGCTCATGTGAGACAAATGCACATCTGATTTGCTTGCTCTGCCCTATTGTTTCACTAAGCCAGACTAAGGCATAAGTGACTAGTCCTGTAAATCAGCAGTCCCAAACCTTTTTGGCACCAGGGGCTGGTTTTGTGGAAGACATTTTTTCCACAGATGTGGGGTGGGCGGGATGGTTTCAGAGGAAACTGCTCCACCTTGGATCATCAGGCATTAGTTAGATTCTCATAAGGAGCAATCTAGATCTCTCCCATGCACCGTTCACAATAGGGTTCACCCTCCTATGAGAATCTCATGCCACCACAGGTCTAGCAGGAGGTGGAGCTCAGGCGGTAATACTCACTGGCTGCTCACCTCCTGCTTCCTAACAGGCCACAGACCCATACTGGTCCGCGGCCTGGGGGTAAGGGACCACTGCTGTAAACTGTTTATTCAATGAAAGGCTAATCAGAAACTCAAAAGCATGCAACAGTTTGTCTCTTATCTACCTAGGACCTGGAAGGCCCCTCCCCACTTTGAGTTGTCTTGCCTTTCTGGACTGAACCAATGTACATCTGACATATATTGATTGATGTCTCATGTCTCCCTAAAATATATAAAATCAAGCTGTGCCCCGACCACCTTGGGCATATGTTGTCAGGAGCTCCTGAGGCTGTGTCATGGGTGTGTTCTTAACCCTAGCACAAAAAACTTTCTAAACTGATTGACACCTATCTTGGATACCATTTGGTTTATATGGTTTTACTCATTCCCAGTACCTAACATATCATCTGGCACATGATGGCAATCAGAAGGTATTATCTGAATAAATGCATGAAAGTTACTACTAGTCCTTTCTTGACATTAAGTGCTTCTCCTTAGGGGTGTGAA
This sequence comes from Homo sapiens, assembly GCF_000001405.40. Lineage (NCBI taxonomy): Eukaryota > Metazoa > Chordata > Mammalia > Primates > Hominidae > Homo > Homo sapiens. Next base: position 187,543 of record NW_014040927.1, on the reverse strand, counting down.
TGAACCCTTAGAAGACTGAAATAGTAACCAAGGAAAGGGGGGCGGGGGAACCAATATTTGTTGAGTGCGAACATCATGTGCCAGGTCTTAAGCAAAAGAGTTAACTTCTTTTTTTTTTTTTTTTTTTTTTGGAGACAGAGTCTTGCTCTGTCAGGCTGGAGTGCAGTGGCACAATCTCGGCTCATTGCAACCTCCACCCCCCGGTTTCAAGCGATTCTCCTGCCTCAGCCTCTCAAGTAGCTGGGATTACAGGCACACACCACCATGTCTGGCTAATTTTTGTATTTTTAGTAGAGATGGGGTTTCACCATGTTGGCCAGGCCGGTCTCAAACTCCTGACCTCAGGTGATCTGCCTGTCTCGGCCTCCCAAAGTGCTAGGATTACAGGTGTGAGCAACTGTGCCCAGCCAGGAGTTTTTAAATCTTTACAAATTGCATTGTGATATTCTTTATCCTCATTTGGTAGATGTAGGTTCCTCATATAAATATGAGGAAGCTGAGTTTAGGCTGGGTGCAGTGTCTCACACCTGTAATCTCAGCGCTTTGAGAGGCCGAGGAGGGCAGATTGCTGGAGCTCAGAAGTTCAAGACCAGCCTGGTCAACAGAGCAAGACCCCATCTCTACAAGAAATTTAAAAATTAGCCAGGCATGGTAATGCATGTCTGTAATTACAGCTACTCAGGAGGCTGAGGCAGGAGGATCACATGGGATCAGGAGGTCAAGGCTGCAGTGAGCTGAGATCGTGCCACTGCACTCCAGCCTGGGCAGCAGAAAGAGATGCTGTCTCAAAGAGAGAGAAACAGAGAAAAGAAAAGAAACTGAATTCAAATTAAGTAACTTGCCAGATGTTAGACAACTACTAAGTGACTGAATTTGAATTTGAATCAGTCCACTTGACAACACCACTACCCTGCCTGCTGTCAGACTGAGGCATTTAAGAACCAAAAGGCTCGGCCAGCACGGTGGCTTACGCCTGTAATCCCAGCACTTTGGGAGGCAGAGGCAGGCTGATCACCTGAGGTCGGGAATTCGAGACCAGCCTGGCCAACATGGAGAAACCCTGTCCCTACTAAAAATACAAAATTACCTGGGCGTGGTGGCACATGCCTGTAATCCCAGCTACTCAGGAGGCTGAGGCACAAGAATCGCTTGAACCCGGAAGGCGGAGGCTGCGGTGAGCCGAGATCGTGCCATTGCACTCCAGCCTGGGCAACAAGAGTGAAACTCCAAAAAGTCTCAAAAAAAAAAAAAAAAAAAAAAGAGCCAAAAGGCTCTCATCTCCTCCATACCTCATTTAAAGAAAAAATGCAGGGCCAGGCACAGTGGCTCACGCCTGTATTCCCAGCACTTTGGGAGGCCAAGGCAGGCAGATCACTTGAGGTCAGGAGTTCGAGACCAGCCTGGCCAATATGGTGAAACCCCATCTCTAAGAAAAATACAAAAATTAGCCAGCATGGTGGTGCCTGCTTGTAATCCCAGCTACTTGGGAGGCTGAGGCAGGAGAATGGCTTGAACCCGGAAGGCGGAGGTTGCAGTGAGCTGAGATTGTGCTCACTGCACAATCTCTTTACTCTCTCCGATGGAAACTACGGCTCAACGTTCTTTACAGCCACAGGCTTTCACGGACTTCACGCTATCATTGGATCAACATTTCTCACTATCTGCCTTCTCCGCCAATTAAAATTCCACTTTACATCCAGCCACCACTTTGGCTTTGAAGCTGCCGTCTGATTTGACACTTCGTAGATGTAGTATGACTATTCTTACACGTCTCTGTCTACTGATGAGGATCCTACTCTTTTAGTATAAACAATACCATTGATTTCCAATCAGTTTCAATAATATCCAAGAGAGTAATCAACCTGACACTAGCCCTAGTAACCAACACCTTACTGGCCCTATTACTAATAACAATTGCATTGCTCCCACAGCGTAATACTTATATAGAAAAATCCAGCCCCTGTGAATGCAGATTTGACCCAATAGCCTCCGCCTGCCTCCTCTTTTCCATAAAATTCTTCCTAGTAGCCATCACATTCCTCCTTTTCGACTCAGAGATCACTCTACTACTACCCCTGCCATGAGCCCTTCAAATAACCAACCTGACACTAATAATCAGCGCAGCCCTTATACAATTACCACTTTAATCCTAGGCTTGACATGAATGAGCCCAAAAAGGATTAGACCGGGATGAATTGGTAAATAGTTTAAGCCAAAATAAATGATTTTTACTCATTAGATTATGATAGACCATGTTTACCAAATGCCCTTATTAGCACACACCATATCACTGCTAGGGATATTAGTCTATCGATCCCACCTAGTATCATCCCTGTTATGCCTAGAAGGCATAATACTATCAATAGTTATCATAAATACTCTTACAGCTTTAAGCATACATTTCACTCTAGCACCCATAATCCCCATCATCCTCCTAGTATTTGCTCCCTGCGAAGCTGCAGTGGGCTTTGCCTTACTAGTTTCAATCTCCAACACATATGGCCTGGATTACGTACAAAATCTAAATTTACTTCAATGCTAAAAATTATTATTCCAACAATTATACTGTTACCAATGACATGATTCTCTAAAAATTCTATAATCTGAATCAACATGATTATTCACAGCCTACTCATCAGCCTCGCCAGCCTACTATTTTTTAACCAATTCAGCGATAACCCATCCAACCTCTCATTAATTTTCTCTTCTGACCCGCTGACGTCACCGCTTCTAATCTTAATAGCCTGTCTACTGCCTCTTACAGTTTTTGCTAGAAGCCAATATCACCTGTCCAATGAATCACCCCCATGAAAAAAGCTCTATATTTCTATATTGATTTCCCTACTGACTTTTTTAATCAGAGCATTCACAGCCACAGAACTAATTATATTTTATATCCCCTTTGAAGCCACACTAGTTCCTACCCTAATTATCATCACCCACTGAGGCAACCAACCAGAACGCCTCAATGCAAGCTCATACTTCTATTTTACACACTAGTAGGATCCCTTCCTCTACTTGTAACACTTGTTTATACTCAAAATACCTCAGGTTCACTAAACATGCTAGTAATAATACTTACTACCCAAGAGCCATTAGCCTCCTGATCCAACAATCCTACATGACTAGCATGTATCATAGCTTTTATAGTAAAAATACCTCTATACAGGTTTCACCTATGACTCCGCAAAGCCCACGTAGAAGCCCCTATTGCGGCTCGATAGTACCTGGAGCAGGACTCCTAAAGCTAGGTGGCTACAGTATAATACAACTTACTCTTCTCCTCAATCCCCTAACAGAACATATAGCATACCCTTTCCTCATACTGTCCCTATGAGGGAGAGTTATGACAAGCTCTATTTGTCTATGACAAACTGATCTAAAATCATGTATTGCCTACTCCTCTGTAAGCCACATAGCACTTGTTATCATGGCTATCCTCATTCAGACCCCTTGAAGCTTAACAGGTGCAGTCACCCTTATAATTGCTCATGGACTCACTTCAGCCTTACTATTCTGCCTAGCAAATTCAAACTACGAGCAGGCCCATAGGTGAACCCTATTACTTACCGAACGCCTTCAAACACTGCTTCTGCTAATAGCCTCTTGATGACTTCTAGCAAATCTTACTAACCTTGCCTTACCCCACACCATTAATCTAGTAGAACTCTTTGTGACCGTGGCCTCATTCTTCTGATCTAATATCACTATTATGCTTATAGGACTTAATATACTAATTACAGCCCTTTACTCCCTAAATATGCTAATCACAACACAACGAGGGACACTTGCATATTATATTAACAGTACTAAACCTTCCTTTACACGAGAGAACACATTAATACTTATACATCTTGCGTCTATCTTCCTATTATCTTTAAACCCTAAACTTATTATGGGGTTTGCATGCTGTAGCTACAGTTTAACCAAAACATTAGATTGCAGATCTAATCATAGAAGCCTGCAACTTCTTACCTACTGAGAAAGTATGCAAGAACTGCTAACTCGTGCCCCCATGCCTAACAACATGGCTTTCTCAACTTTTAAAGGATTAGAGTCATCCGTTGGTCTTAGGAGCCAAAAGCATTGGTGCAACTCCAAATAAAGCAACAAACATGTATTCTTCCACTGCTATAACATCCCTAATCCCCTTAATCTTACCGATTACCATTACCTTAGCCAACCCCCGCAAAAGTTTCACACCCAAATTACGTAAAAACATCTATCGCATGTGCCTTCGTTATTAGCCTCATTCCTACAACAATGTTGATATGCACAGACCAAGAAGTCATTATCTCAAACTGACACTGAATGACCGTCCAAACTCTCAAACTCTCACTAAGCTTCAAGCTAGACTAATTCTCCACAATATTTATCCCAGTAACACTCACTGTTCATTACCTGATCTATTATAGAATTCTCAATATGATATATAAACTCAGACCCTAACATTAATCAATTGTTCAAATACTTATTTTCCTCATCACAATATTAATTCTGGTTACCGCCAACAACCTCTTTCAGCTCTTCATTGGATGAGAAGGCGTAGGAATCATGTCTTTCTTACTAATCGGCTGATGGTACGGCCGAGCAGATGCTAATACAGCAGCCAAGCAGTTCTGTACAACCGCATCGGCAATATTGGCTTTATTTCAGCTATAGCATGATTCCTCCTGTCCTCCAACACATGAGAATATCAGCAAAAAATAAATTCTAGACCCTACCCCCAACTCCCTCCCATTAATTAGCCTTCTCTTAGCAGCAGCAGGAAAGTCAGCTCAATTCGGCCTCCATCCCTGACTCCCATCTGCCATAGAAGGCCCAGCCCCAGTCTCAGCCCTACTCCACTCCAGCACTATAGTTGTAGCAGGAGTGTTCCTGCTCATCTGCTTCTACCCTTTAATAGAAAATAACCTATCAATCCAAACCTTTACATTATGTCTGGGGGCTATTACTACCTTATTCACAGCCACCTGTGCTGTAACACAAAATGATATCAAAAATATCATAGCATTCTCCACCTCAAGCCAGTTAGGCCTTATAATAGTCACAATTGGCATTAATCAGCTGCATCTAGCATTCCTTCACATCTGCACCCATGCCTTTTTCAAAACTATATTATTTATATGTTCAGCGTCCCTCATCCATAACCTCAGTGAAGAACAAGACATCCGAAAAATAGGAGGGCTATTCAAGACTCTACCCCTCACTTCCTCCTCCCATTTTATCAGCAGCCTCACAACTTACAGGTATGCCTTCCTCACAGGCTTTTACTCCAAAGACCTCATTATTGAACCTGCAAACACATCATACACCAATGCCTGAGCCCTTTCTATTACGCTTATTGCCACCTCCTTGACAGCTGTCTACAGTACCCATATTATTTTCTTCGCTCTAATAGGGCAACCTTACTTCATGACTCTGGTTATTATTAACGAAAATAACCCCTTCCTAATTAAACACCTAACAATCAGCAGCATCTTCGCCGGATTCCTCCTCACCAACAGTATTATTCCTGCGTCATCCCCCCAAACAACCATACCACTCCACCTGAAGCTCACAGCCCTAGGTGTGACCACCTTAGGCTTCTTACTAGCAATGGAGTTTAATCTCATAACTAATAACCTTAAACTAAAATACCCACTACAGACATTCAACTTCTCCAAAATACTAGGATTCTATTCAGTCACAATTCACCATACAACCCCCAACTCAAACCTATCCACAAGCCAAAATCTGGCTTCACTACTACTAGACCTAATTTGACTAGAAAAGTCTATACCAAAGACCATTTCACAAACCCAAATTTCAGCCTCCATTACTGTGTCTACTCAAAAAGGCCTAATTAAACTCTACTTTCTCTCTTTTTTTATCCCATCCCTTTTAACCCTACTCCTAATTATCTAATCTATTACCCCGAGTAATTTCAATCGCAACGTAAATAGTAACAAATAATGATCAACCAGCAACTACCACTATTCAACACCCATAACTATACAAGGCAGCCGCACCCACAGGATCCTCATGCAACAACCCCTCCCCCTCCCCCTCAAAAATCATCCAACTCTCTATGCTGTTAAAATCAATCATGATCCCCACCCCATCATGCTCAACTATTCACCAAACCGACAGCAACCCCTTTAATACTCATAATAGTAAAGCCCCTCAGATGTCAATATTTGACCCTCATGTTTCAGGATATTCCTCAGCAGCCATTGCCATGGTATAGCCAAAAACAACCATCATGCCACCCAAGTGAACCAAAAAGACTGTCAACCCCACAAAAGCCACACCAAAAATCAACACAATACCACAACCTACAGCACCACTAATAATTAGCTCTAGGCCCCCATAAATAGGAGAAGGTTTCAAGGAGAAACCTACAAACCCTATAACCAAAAGGACACTTAATAAAGATATAAAATATGCCATTGTTCCCACATGGACTATAACTATGACTAATGACATGAAAAATCATTGTTGAACTTCAACTAGAAGAACACTAATGGTCAATATCCGCAAAACACACTCGCTAATAAAAATTATTAGTTACTCACTAATTACTCATAGTGTGCACTCCAGCCTGGGCAACAGAGTGAGACTCTGTCTCAAGAAAAGAAAAAAAAAAAAGCAGCTACTAATTAACCATGAAAGCACACTTTTTTTTTTTTTGAGATAGGGTCTTGCTCTGTCTCCCAGGCTGGAGTGTGCACACTATTGACTTCATAGTATTGTTATACTTTCTTGCCATTTAAAAATCAAAAAGCACCTGCATTCTATAAATGCACCTTCACACAGTGTAGCTGTGTACTGGTTTCATTGTGGTAATTAAGGCCGGGGAGGGCCACTGCTGCTAAGAAGTGAAAGAACAGCTTGAAGAGGAAAGAAACATTGTCCCATGAAACACGAAGGTAACATGGTCCGTTTAGTTCACACATAAGGCCTGTTATTAGGAGTAGGGAGTATCTGAAGTGTTTCCGTGAGAAAAGAGACCTATTATTACCATGGCCAGGTGTGCGCACAAGTATGCATTCTCTGGCTGTTCTTTCCAAATCATTTGGTAAAATTCTCATTATTTAGTACATTTTATCTCATCTTTTCTTTTTCAGTTATATTAGACTTCATTCAATTTGATTTTACATATAAACCAATCCCTGGGGCAAAATAAAGGAATTCATTGGTTTGGACAAATCCAGTGCTATGCAGCTGATGCCACTCTTCTTTATTTATTTCTTTTTGCTTTGTTTTGTGTTTTTGAGATGGGGTCTCGCTGTGTCACCCAGGCTTCAATGCAGTGGCACGATCGTGGCTCACTGCAGCCTGTACCTCCTGGTCTCAGGCAATCCTCCCACCTCAGTTTCCTGAATAGCTGGGACTACAGGCACACGCCACCATGCCTAAGTTTTCTATTTTTTATAGAGACGAGGTCCCGCGATGTTGCCCAGGCTGGTCTCAAACTCCTGGGCTCAAGCGATCCTCCCGCCTTGGCCTCCCAAAGTGCTAAGATTACAGACATGAACCACTGTGCCTGGCCTTTGATGCTACTTTTCTAATACCTTTCTCCTGATCAAATAATTAGTTGTTTCATCTTAGCCCTTACTGGTGTGTAACATTTGGAAGTGCAGATCCACATTGGCACAGCTTCCTTTAGTTAAAAATTACGGCCGGGAGCAGTGGCTCACACCTGTAGTCCCAGCACTTTGGGAGGCCGAGGCGGGCAGATCACCTGAGGTCTGGAGTTCGAGACCAGCCTGGACAACACGGTGAAACCCTGTCTCTCCTAAGAATACAAAAATTAGCTGTGCATGGTGGTGCGCATCTGTAGTCCCAGCTACTTGGGAGGCTGAGGTAGGAGAATCACTTGAACCTTGGAGGCGGAGGTTGCAGTAAGCCAAGATCGTGCCACTGCACTCCAGCCTAAAATACAGAGTGAGACTCTGTCTCAAAAAAACAAAACAAAAAAATTACATAGGAAGAAGAAAATCCAAGAGGAAAGAAGACACCTTGCTTGATAGATAAATAAAAATTGAGCCAGGAGGTATTTAGGAGGCCAAAAACCAAAAATCAGAATGGCAAAGAGCCTGGGCTTTGGAATCAGAGATGCTCGGGTTGAAATCCTGGCTCTGACATCTACTGGCTTTGCCACTGTCCAAAGCTCTCATTTCTTCATCTAGTAAAATGAGGATAATAACACCTATTTCACAGGCAGCTCTTGATGATTCATGAAATCACATAAGTATTTAACACATGCCTGGGACATAACACATGCTCAGTAAATAGGCATTAACTGTATTTACCCTATCCATAATTATTGTGGTAACGAGTCCACACAAAGACTCAGAATTTCAGATAAGAGTTGGTCATTTGCCGAAGATGCATGGAGGGAAGGAGAGACAGTAACACTTACCAGCTAGTAACTGGGTGCCCATCGCGCTCCAGTTTCATAACACATCAACATCACAGTCTGTTTATACAGGAGTACAAGCTAAGACCCCCTCACTCCAGGAACTGAATTATGAAGAAAATAACTCATGATATGCCGGAAAGATAGCACTTTCCCATAATCAGCACCAGAAGGGGAGGTCAAGTCTGTAATGAAAGCTCTCAAACTTCAAAATTGCTATTTCAAGAGGTGATGATAAAAGCCTTTCGAAGGACGGGGCACAATGACGCACACCTGTAATCCCAGCACTTTGGGAGGTTGAGGCAGGAGGAGGTCAGGAGTTCAAGACCAGCCTGGCCAACATGGCGAAACCCCGTCTCTACTAAAAATACAAAAATTAGCTGGACCTGGTGGTGCACACCTGTAATCCCAGCTACTCGGGAGGCTGAGGCAGGAGAATCTCTTGAACCAGGAGGCAGAGGTTGCAGTGAGCCAAGAATGTGCTACTGCACTCCAGCCTGGGCAAAAGTCATTTTGGAGGTCGAAGTACTTATTTGGGAAAACATTCAGGGTCTAGGAAGGGGCCACAGTATTAACCCAATATTAACCATTAAATATCTCTCTGGTGGCTGGGACTTGACTTTGTTTCTAACCACAATTGACCCTTGAACAATGCAGGGATTAGGAGCACCAACCCCTTTCCCTCCTCCTAGCAGTCAAAAATTCACTTATAACTTTTTTTTTCTTTTCAAGATGGAGTCTTGCTCTGTCACCCAGGCTGGAGTGCAGTGGCTCGATCTCGGCTCACTGCAACCTCCGCCTCCTGGGTTCAAGCAATTCTCCTGTCTCAGCATCCCGAGTAGCTGGGATGACAGGCACACGCCACCACGCCCAGCTAATTTTTGTATTTTTAGTAGAGACAGAGTTTTGCCATGTTGGTCAGGCTGGTCTCAAACTCCTGACCTCAGATGATCCACCCGCCTCAGCCTCCCAGTCCTGGGATTACAGGCGTGAGCCACCGCGCCCAGCCACACACAACTTTTGACTCTCCAAAAACTTAACTACTGATAGCCTAGTGTTGACCAGAAGTCTCACCAAGAATATAAACAGTCAATTAATACATTTTTTATGTCATGTGTATCATATACTGTATTCTTACAATAAAATAAGCCAGAGAAAATAAATTTTATTAAGAAAACTGTAAGAAAGAGAGCCAGGCATGGTGGCTTATGCCTGTAATCCTAGGACTTTGGGAGGCTGAGATGGGAGGATAGCTTGAGCTCAGGAGTTGGAGGCTGCAGTGAGCTAGGTTGTGCCACTGCACTCCAGTCTGGGTGACAGAGGAAAGGACGAAAGAAGGAAAGAAAAGAAAGAGAAAGAAAGAAAGAGAGAGAGAGAGAGGGAGGGAGGGAGGGAGGGAGGGAGGGAGGGAGGGAGGGAGGGAGGGAAGGAAGGAGGGAGGAAGGAAGGAAGGAAAGAAAGAGAGAAGGGAAAGGAAGGGAAGGGAAAGGAAAGGGAAGGGAAGGGAAGGAAGGAAGGTCATAAAGAAGATAAAGTATATTTACTATTCATTAAGTGAAAGTGGATCATCATAAAAGTCTTCATCCTCATCTTCATCTTCACATTGAGTAGGCTGAGGAGGAAGAGGAAGAGGAGGAGTTGGCTTTGCTGTCTCCGGGCGGCAGAGGTGGAAGAAAATCCACATATAAGTGGACCCACGCAGTTTAAGCCCCTGTTGTTCAAGCCTCAACTATACTAACAAGTAGTGCTGTCTTTTTGTGGTGAGCTGATTTCTCTGTTATATTCCAGTTTTCACCTCTGCCAATTTTGAATGAGTAAGCAGTGGACCAAGATACCAAAGGCTGGGCCCCTCCTCTACAAGGCCAGGTCATGCAGGGACCTAGAAGGGAAAGAGGGGGAGAGCCGGCTGCTGTCACTCTGATGGAGCTGGTGAAGGATGTCCAGCTGCTGTCCCAGGCTAACGCTGGGGAGAAATCACTCTAGACAGCCATCGCGGGGCCAGCCAGAGATAGTCAAAAGGGCATGGTCTTAGCCAGTATACACTGCTATAAAAAACAAATGCCATAGACGGAGTAGATTTTTTTTTTTTTTGAGATAGATTCTCACTCTGTCGCCCAGGATGGAGTGCAGTGGCATGGTCTTGGCTCACTGCAACCTCTGCCTCCCAGGTTCAAGTGATTCTCCTGCCTCAGCCTCCCGAGTAGGTGGAATTACAGGTGCAAGCCACCATGCCCAGCTAATTTTTGTATTTTTAGTAGAGACGGGGTTTCACCACATTGGTCAAGTTGGTCTCGGACTCCTGACCTTGTGATCCTCCTGCCTTGGCCTCCCAAAGTGCTGTGATTACAGGCATGAACCACCGCACCCGGCCAACTGAGTAGCTTATACACAGCAGAAATGTATTTCTCCCAGTTCTGGAAGCTGGAAGTCTGAGATGAGGGCACCAGCATAGCTTCTCGTGAGGCCTCTCCTGGGCTGCAGATGGCCCTCTTCTCACTGTGTTCTCATGTGACCCAGAGCAGAGGGGAGCAAACTGCCTCAGGACTCTTACAAGGGCACTAATCCTGCCTTCCTGACCTCATCTAATCCTAATCACTCCCAAAGGCCCCATTGAATTTTAGGGGGTGGGGTTTCAAGAGATGAGTTTCAGGGAGACACAAACATTCAGTCTATAGCAATGGCTGCAGGAGCTTGGCAGTGTCCAGGCACAAATTATTCATTTAGTTATTGTTTTGGGCTGAATTGTACCTCCTTTCCAAATTCGTATGTTGAAATCCTAAACCCTAATACCTCATAATATAACCATATAGTAGTTCCCCCTTATCTGCAGTTTCACATTCTATAGTTTCCATTACCCATGGTCTACTGCAGTCCAAAAATATTAAATGGAAAGTTCCAGAAATAATTCATACATTTTAAATTGCATTCCATTCTGAGTAGCATGATTAAATCTCATGCCATCCCACTCGGTCCCACCCAGGATGTGAATCATCCCTTAATCCATATAGCCACCCTGTAGATACCCCATGCTGTTAGTCATTTAGGAGCTGTCTTGGTTATCACTGTTGTGATATTATGGTGCTTGTATCCAAATAATTCTTATTTTACTTCATAAGGGACCCAAAGCACAAGAGTAGTGATGCTGGCATATTGTTAAAATTGTTCTATTTTATTATTAGCTACTGTCGTTAATCTCTTACTTATCATAGGTACGTATGTATAGAAAAAAACATGGTATATATATATATATGGTTTGGTACTATCAATGGTTTCACGCATTCACTGGGGGTCTCGGAATGTATCCCCACAGAAAAAGAGAGGCTACTGTGTTTGAAAATAGGGCCTTTAAAGGGATAATAAAGCAAAAATGAGGTCATTAGGGTGGACTTTAATCCAATATGACTGGTATCATTATAAGAAGAGGAGATGAGGACACAGACACACACAGAGGGAAGACCATTTGAGGACATGAAGAAAAGACAGCTGTCTGCAAGCCAAGGAGAGAGAGGCTTCAAAAGCAACCAACCCTGTGGTCACCTTGATCTCAGACTTCCAGCCTCCAGAACTGTAAGGAAATCCATTTCTGTTGTTTAAACCATCCAGTCTATAGTACTTTGTTATGGCAGCCCTAGCAAACTAACACAATGATCAAATCCTTATACAGAGCTTACCAGGTGCCAATCCGTCTTCTACGTACTTTGCAAATATCACTTTATATATGCTCATGACAAACCTGTGAGCACTAGGATTAAACCCATTTTTAAAGATGGCAAAGTGAGGCATGAGAGATTAAGTGACTTGCCAAAGTCACATAAGTCGTAACAGGTGAAGCTGGAACCAGGCTATCCAGTGCCAGAGCACAGGCTCTTAACCACTTTGCTATGCTCTCCCCTTGGAGGAGGTGGGAAAATAGTTGATACTCAAGGTTCACATGAAAACAGTGAGCAGCTGGGGAGGACGACAGAGGAGTTTGAGGGCACCTTGGTGGGTGATGCTGGAGAATGCTGGCAGGTTGGCAGTCATCCTGGGGACAGGAGACATAGAGATGGGAGAGCATGAAAACACACATTCACGTAGCTGGGACAAAGCCACTGGGAAGGCTCACAGGGCCAGGCCCCAGCCCCATGATGGGCCTGCTGGCTAGAGCAAAATCTGGGTTCCTATATTGAGTCTGGAGAACTAGCACTTTCCAGAAAAGAATTTGCAGTAGAGACTGTTTTATTAATAGTGGTTTTAGTACATTTTCTATTGCTTATAACAGAATATCTGGAACTAGGTTACTTATAAGAAATTACATTTATTCCTTACTGTTCCAGAAGCTGGGAAGTCCAAGGTTGAGGGGCTGCATCTGGTGAGGGCCTTCTTGCTGGTGGGGACTCTCTCCAGAGTCCTGAGACAGCTCAGGGCATCATATGGCGAGTGTCTGAGTGTGCTAGCTCAGGTCTCTCTTCCCTTCTTATAAAGCCACCAGTCCCACTCTCATAACCCATTAATCCATTAATTTATTAATTATTAATTAATTAATGGATTAATCTATTCTCAAGGGTAGAGCCCTCATGACCCAATCACCTTGAAAAGGCCCCGTCTCTCAATAATCCCACACTGGGGATCAAGTTTCAACATGAGTTCTTAAGGAGACAAATATGCAAATCATAGCAGAGACCATAGCAGAAGCCTAATTCTGCAAACCAGAACACACAATGGGCAGCAGAGCTCAGGCCTGGGAGGTCCAGGGCAGGAGGCTTATGAGCAGGAGAGGTGGTGGGCTGTGGTCAGAAGGACATTGCAGATGCTTAGCCAGGGTGACGGCCACTGCCTCCCACCTAGATTGAACTCGTCAGCAGTGGTGGAGACAAACCTTTCCAGTGGGGCCAAGGTTGCTTGAGCACAAGTTGGATTAGTAATAACGTTACTGACCACATGAGACTCCGGAAGCCCAACTCTGGCATGCTGAAGGATCAGGAGCAGGGAAGAGTGGGAGAAGCTCTTCTTATAAAGTCACTAGTCCGGCCGGGCGCGGTGGCTCATGCCTGTAATCCCAGCACTTTGGGAGGCTGAGGTGGACAGATTACCTGAGGTCAGGAGTTTGAGACCAGCTTGGCCAACATGGCGAAACCCCATCTAAAATACAAAAATACAAAAATTAGCCGGGTGTTGTGACGTGTGCCTGTAATCCCAGCTACTTGGGAGGCTGAGGCAGGAGAATCGGTTGAACCCAGGAGGCGGAGGTTGCAGTGAGCCAAGATCACGCCACTGCACTCCAGCCTGGGCAACAGGGTGAGACTCTGTCTCAAAAAAAAAAAAAAAAAGCCACCAGTCCACTCTCATGATGGTAGTCCTGCATCCTCTGGGGATGTCCCTCTGCCTGAGAAAGAAGGGGGACCTATGTATATTAATTTTCCTGAAACTTGTTGCTGAGACCAGACGCAATTCCAGTGATAGAAAAAGGCCTGGAAAAGGTTTACTACTGCAAGGGAAAGAATTCCCAGAGGCAAACAAGGTACTTGTTGACCTCAGAGCATCTTGAAGGAGAAGGAGTCTCAGTGGCCATAGAGTCTGCCTTCTCAATCCAGGAAAGGAGTTTCCAGTTCCTTTGAAAACCATTGTCTTCTTAAATGTTGACATGTGGTATTTTGTAAACATCATCAAAGCAGGCTATTACTTGTTTCCGAAGAGGGCAATCCTTTGAAGAGATGAACTTCCAAGCATCTTGGATGAAGAATTCTCATATAAACTCATCCTCGTTGCAGAACCTGTGATGGTTTTGTGATCAATTGTGCATTAATAACATTTTCACTTCCTGTCACTTAAATGCTGATAAAGTTAGATTAAGATATACATATTCTGACCAGGTGCAGTGGCTCATACCTGTAACTCCAGCACTTTGGGAAGCCAAAATGGGAGGATCACTTAAGCCCAAGAGTTCAAGAACAGCCTGGGCAACAAAAGGAGACACCATCTTCACACACAAAAAATTTTTTTAATAGCCACAGGCCCGGCGCGCTAGCTCACACCTATAACCCCAGCAGTTTGGGAAGCGGAGGTGGGTGGATCACTTGAGGTCAGGAGTTCAAGACCAGCCTGGCCAACATGGTGAAACTCCATCTCTACTAAAAACACAAAAATCAGCCAGGCATGGTGGCACCCACCTGTAATCCCAGCTAGTTGGGAGGCTAAGGCAGGAGACTCACTTGAACCCAGGAGGTGAAAGTTGCAGTGAGCTGAGATTGTGCCACTGCACTCCAGCCCCAGTGACTGAGTTAGACTCCATCTCAGAAAAGGAAAAAATAACCGGGCATGATGGCATGTGCTTATAGTCCCAGCTACTTGGGAGGCTGAGGTGGGAGGATTACTTGAGCCCAGGAGTCTGAGGCTGCAATGAGCCATGATTGGGCCACTACACTCCAGCCTGGGCGCGAGAGCAAGACCCTGTCTCAAAAAACTAAAAATTAAAAAAAAACACATATTCCAATAATCATGAATCTACTTTATTAGTAAATAAAGACCCCCAAACCTATTGAGAGTAAATGAACTCATTTAAGAGAATACTGAGCTTAAGCTTTGCCATTATATTTAAATACACATAAGTGATTAATTCAAAGACCTTGTCTCAAAAAACTAAAAATTAAAAAAAAACACATATTCCAATAATCGTGAATCTATTTTTTCAGTAAATAAAGGCCCCCAAACCTATTGAGAGTAAATGAACTCATTTAAGAG
The DNA here is from genome assembly GCF_000001405.40 of Homo sapiens. Classification (NCBI taxonomy): domain Eukaryota; kingdom Metazoa; phylum Chordata; class Mammalia; order Primates; family Hominidae; genus Homo; species Homo sapiens. The sequence goes on along the minus strand of NW_014040927.1, from coordinate 172,419 downwards.
AATACTGAGCTTAAGCTTTGCCATTATATTTAAATACACACGTGATTAATTCAAAGACCTTGTCTCAAAAAACTAAAAATTAAAAAAAAAAACACATATTCCAATAATCGTGAATCTGTTTTTTCAGTAAATAAAGGCCCCCAAACCTATTGAGAGTAAATGAACTCATTTAAGAGAATACTGAGCTTAAGCTTTGCCATTATATTTAAATACACGTAAGTGATCAATTCATTCATGATCAGATTGAGTCAGATATTTATAATATATATTATATTTTTAGCCCTCAGGTGACAGCAATATATTACCAAGAGTTTATTTGCTCACCAAAGTATTAACTTGCATATAATTCATGTGAATTTGGGACACATGTTTTACTTCAACACAGCTATTTAGGTTTTTTAGAGCATGTTTGTTTACTGAACCACCAAATGCTGTAATAAACTATCCTTACAGTCTTTGCCTTAATTGGGAGAAAAAATAATAGAAATCTCAAAGAAGAAATTCTTTCTAACACCCAGCCAAATGAAATATATATAACATAAGTAATCAGCGCTAGATTTAGAAGAATTCTAATTTTATAACATATGTGTCACCAGGGTATGCCTTATAAACAACCTAAGACCACACATTTCCTATCAGTTATGAGCTGGCTGTTTGAAGACTAAATAATCTAGCTAAGTAATTTTTTTTTAAGTTTGTTACTGGCTCATGCCTGTAATCCCAGTACTTTGGGAGGCCGAGGCGAGCAGATCACCTGAGGTCAGGAGTTTGAGAACAGCCTGGCCAACATGGTGAAACCCCATCTCTACTAAAAATACAAAAATTAGCTGGGCCTCATGGCAGGCGCCTGTAATCCCAGCTACTTGGGAGGCTGAGGCAGGAGAATCACTTGAACCTGGGAGGCGGAGGTTGCAGTGAGCTGAGATTGTGCCACTGCACTCCAGCCTGGGCAACAGAGCAAGACTACCTATCAAAAAATAAAAAATAAGTTTATTGCCAAGGCATGTGCTAGATCTGGCTGGTCCTGTGTTTGAAGCTGTGTCAGAATGGGGCACATGAAACAAAAAGGCACTGGACCTTGTAAAATGAGGGAAATACTAAGAGCAGCTCACAAGCACGAAGTATTTACCATGCACGATGAAACTGTCACAAAATTCTCCACAAGGTAGGTACTATTATTGCTCCCATTTTATAGATGAGGAAACTGAGCTTGATGTTCTGGTAAATAGTAATGCCCAGGTTGGGGAAAGGGGCAGGCACTGATTTGCAGCATTTGCCAATTTCCATGGTGTGAATACTTCCAATCAAAGCCAATTTCAAGCTACCAATGTAACATCAACAGGCTTGCAACATTCCTGATGTTGGTCTGATTCCCTAGCCAAACAAGTCACTTGCTCAAGTTCCTAGTCACACAATTAGTAAATACTGCCAATCAAAGTAAATTTCAAGCTAATCAGTAAATACTCCCAACCAAAGCCACTTTCAAGCTACCATGGTAACATTTGCAGGCTTGCAACATTCCTGATGTTGACTTGATTCGCTAGCCAATCAACTCACTTGCTCAAGTTCCCAGTCACACAATCCGTAAATGGAGGAAACTGTGATGTGAACCCAGAAAGCCTGATTCAGAGCCTGTGTTCTCAACCACTGTCATCCGCTTTTAGGAAGAATAATCCACGAGGGGAAAAAGAACAGAAAGGAGACCCCAGAGCTCCCAGGGCTGCACCTGAGCAAGAGTAACTGGGTCAGGGCTAGATTAGAGTCAGACTGCTTTAACTGAAGGCTTCAGTAAGAAAAGGAAAGGAAAAGACAAATCATTTAATATCATGAACTCTAAGCAAAAGAAAAATTGACAAATTTGACAGCTCTTCGGTTTGAGGAGATGCTATATCTTTTGTTTCTGGTTTTTTGTTTGCTTGTTTGTTTGTTTTTTGAGATGGAGTCTCACTGTGTCGCCCAGGCTGGAGTGCAGTGGTGCAATCTTGGCTCACTGCAACCTCCACCTCCTGAGTTCAAGCGATTCTCCTGCCTCAGCCTCTCGAGTAGCTGGGATTACAGGCACGCACCACCACCCCCAGCTAATTTTTGTATTTTTAGTGGAGATGGGGTTTCACCATGTTGGCCAGACTGGTCTTGAACTCCTTACCAAAAGTGATCCACCTGCCTTGGCCTCCCAAAGTGCTGGGATTATAGACATGAGCCACCGCGCCTGGCCTGTTTCTGATTTTCTAATAAAAATATCTGCTCCAGAGAGATCCTTAGGTGGTGGGGCAGACAATTAAGCTATCTTTACTTGGTGGAATTGACACAAATTCCTTTAACCTCTCAGAAATGGAGCACAATCAGGAACAGCAGCACTCCACAAACACGGGCCAGGGCAGGGGAGGTCAGTGTTCTGAAACTTTCTTCTTGGCTAATCCTCATTCCTCTTCATTGCTATCAGCAGGATTTTTTGTTTTGGTTTGGTGTTTTTTTTGTTTTGTTGTGAGACAGGGTCTCGCTCTGTTGCCCAGGCTGGAGTGCAGTGACATGATCTCGGCTCACTGCAGCCTCCACCTCTGGGGTTCAAGCAATTTTCCTGCCTCAGCTTCCTGAGTACCTGGGATTACAGGCGTGCACCACCACACCCAGCTAATTTTTGTATTTTCAGTAGAGATGGGGTTTCGCCATGTTGGCCAGGCTGGTCTTGAACTTCTGACCTCAAGTGATCCGCCTGCCTCGGCCTCCCAAAATGCTGGGATTACGGGCATGAGCCACCATGCCCGGCCCCTGTCAGCAGTTTTATGGAATACTTTGGGAAGCATAAAAAGCATTGTTTCCCCAAATCAACTTATGAAGTTCAGACATTTACCACATTTTTATTTATTGTCTACTATGAGGGCACCTTGGCACTCACCAGCAAGGACTGGCATAGTTCCTTTATGTGAGTTTCGGGGTGAAGACTGGCAAGCCTATGGGGGAGTGTGGTCAGGGCTGTCCTGGGAGTGGGTGCAGGGGACCCAAGGGCATGTATAGGAGATCAGCACCCACACTGCAAGGAGTTAGGAGGTGAGGTTTTCTAAACTGAGACCCAGAAGTGGATTCAGGTTTCATGAGGCCTCATGAAATCCAACCCTAAGAAAATGAATACCAGATTACAAAATTGGGTGTCAGGGTTTGGCACAGACCCTGAAGCTTAAGCTTCATTAGCTTCATTGTAAATGCTCCATTTCTGCTAAGACCTGAAAATAAGTAGGAATTAGCCAGGCCAAAGAGCTGTAGGAGCAGAGAGCAGGCAAAGGACTTGATACATGCAAGAACAAGAGAGTGCTATTTCCTGCCTCCAACGTGGGAGTCGAGCTGGCAGAAGTGGAGTGGAGTTCTGACCAGATCAAAGGCAACCCTCAGAGCAAGGCGAGCTGGGCCGAGACAGGAGCCCAAAGAGGCTCTGCAAGGATGCAAAAGGAAGATCCAAAGGACTTTAAAACAGAGAATTGGAGAAAACAGGAGGTAGAAGCTAGTCTTCAACCCAGGGAACTGTTGAACCAAGACCCCTTTTATAAGGATTCTAGGGACCAGTGAGAGCAGAGTGAGCCATCAAGATTACTATTGTAGCCTGGGCGTGGTGGCTTACGCTTGTAATCCCAGCACTTTGGGAGGCCCAGGTGGGCGGATCACCTGAGGTCAGGAGTTTGAGACCAGCCTGGCCAACATGGTGAAACCCCATCTCTACTAAAAATACAAAAATTAATTGGGCATGGTGGCCGGCGCTTGAAGTCCCAGCTACTCGGGATGCTGAGACAGGAGAATCGCTTGAACCCAGGAGGCAGAGGTTGTAGTGAGCCGAGATCGCGCCAATGCACTCCAGCCTGGGCGACAGGAGAGAGACTCTGTCTCAAAAAAAAAAAAAAAAAATTGCTATTGTAATCAGCACAATGTATTATAATACCGAGATTCTCTCTTTTTGACCATGACCTACAAAAAGAAAAACATTTTATTCCACAGCTGAGGACCTACATAAAAAAGTTTCAGAAAGCATCATTACCTCTACTATTTGCAAGGTGCCCTGAAGTTTTCTATACTGTTCTATTTCCCTTGTTGAATGCCGGGCATGGTGCACCAAATTGCTTTCACATGCACCGAAAAATCCTGACCTGCAGTTTGGAAACCACTTTTGCATAATGTATGATTATGATGTCTGGCTGCCTTTGAATTCTCCAGAATCTTATTTACACCTAAAGCACTAGTGGCCAATGTAGATTTTGCTGGAGACTTTACAGGGGTGATGGAAGAGGGTTTTATGTCACCCACAGTTTTATAAGTTCCCTTGGACATGTCTGCCCCCACCAACTGAGGGTGCTCCTCCACCCCACCCCACTGCAGGGCCAGATCCCTTCTGCCCTCCCTCCCCGCCTCCCAGGAACAGATGCATTCCTTTTAGTAATTCACACAGGGCAGCACAGTTGGTTTCTTTCAGCACAATGCACCAATTACTTAACAAGTCATGGAGCCCTAGCTTCGGAAAGGGAATATCAAAGCACTCATCCAACAAAACTGCCTCTTGCAACCTGCTAAAAATTATGATTTCTTCCATATCATTAAATATATCTATTTCCCCTACTGGACTGTGAACAACTTGAGAATAGGGACTTGAGGTACTCAATAGATGTTGAACCAACGTATATGAACGAGTTAGTCAATGAGGTGGGTGCTATCCCCATTTTACAATGAGGAAACAATGGCTCACAGAGATGTGATTAGAACTGTTCAACTGGTGAGCTGAGAACCAGCCTTCAAACGCAAGCCCATGCAGACAGGATTCCTTTAAACCAGACACACAAACAGGTTCTTTCTTTTGTGTGTCCCTGAAGAATCCCCAGAAATGGACCAATGTTGGGGAAAGAGCAGTATGGATCTTACCAATTCTGAGAGGTGTGTTATAGTTTATGTGTTTGCTATTTTAGACTAAGCCAAAGCAAAAAGGTCTTCAGGAAGGATTAACCAAAAGCCCTTCAATTCTATTTCCATTTGATGGGTAAGGGCATTGGGGATATCTCATCTGTAAGATAGCTTTTTTAAACTTAATGAGTGGCCTTGATTACTACGGCAACAAGTGTGTTGATTCTTTTCCAAGTGAGGTTGCTATAGTTTATATCTGAATGAGAATGGCATGATGGTAAGAGATTAAGTGTATCTTGGCATTTACAGCCAACTTACACAAACATATAAAGACCTACATCAAATATACTGCAAGTTTATAAAACCAAAAGCTCGTAATAGTGCAAAAATGTGTTTGGAATTGTTGAGTTAGGCCATCATACAGAATCTGCTTTTCATTTTTCATGATGCTCAGTGGTTTAGCAGACTGAGTTAGATATATAGGCTAGATATATAGAAATTATATATCTAGATATATAGGCTAGATATATAGAAATTATATATATAGAGTTAGATATATAGAAATTTTACAGAGAAAATGTTCAATTCTAGAATAGATCACACAGCAACATGCAGCTGTATTAAAGTACATTTGTGGCCAGGCATGACGGTTCACGCCCATAATCCCAGCACTTTGGGAGGCCAAAGGGGGCAGATCACTTGAGTTCAGGATTTCGAGACCAGCCTGGCTAACATGGTGAAACCCCTGTCTCCACTAAAAATACAAAAATTAGCCCCAGGCCTGGTGGCCCACATCTGTAATTCAGTTACCCAGGAGGCTGAGGCAGGAGAAGCACTTGAACCCAGGAAGCAGAGGTTGCAGTGAGCTGAAATCACGCCACTGCACTCCAGCCTGGGCAACAGAGTGAGACTGTCTCAAAAAGCAAAACAGCCGGGCGTGGTGGCTCACGCCTGTAATCCCAGCACTTTGGGAGGCCGAGGCGGGCGGATCACGAGGTCAGAAGATCGAGACCATCCTGGCTAACACGGTGAAACCCGGTCTCTACTAAAAATACAAAAAATTAGCCGGGCGTGGTGGCGGGCGCCTATAGTCCCAGCTACTCGGGAGGCTGAGGCAGGAGAATGGCGTGAACCCGGGAGGCGGAGCTTGCAGTGAGCTGAGATGGCGCCACTGCACTCCAGCCTGGGCAACAGAGCGAGACTCCACCTCAGAAAAAAAAAAAAAAAAGCGAAACAAAAAATAAATAAATGTAGTACATTGAGATGAACCATTCAGAAGAGTTACTTATGTGACATGGCCATTCTGTCTTCTGTCTTCTCTCAAAGTAGTTTCATATTCTATTAACCTCATCTCAGATGATTACCACGACAGAAAAGAGCCTAAAGTTAAGAGCTGGATAAAACATTGAAGTAACTATTTAACGGCTCTGAAGTCCTTCAAAGCCGCAGAATTGTTCCTATGACACTTTATTCCCCACTCTAGTTCACACTGCAAAAACTCACCATGATGAAAGATAGTATGTGAACCCAGCAATCCTGCTTCTAGGTATAACTGGAAAGAAACCTTCATTTGCACATGGCGGTGGACATACAAATAAGTATGCAGGCCGGGCGCGGTGGCTCACGCCTGTAATCCCAGCACTTTGGGAGGCCGAGGCGGACAGATCGCCCGAAGTCAGGAGTTCGAGATCAGCCTGGCCAACATGGTGAAACCCCGTCTCTACTAAAAATACAAAAAATTAGCTGGGCGTGGTGGTGCACAGCTGTAGTCCCAGCTACTCGGGAGGCTGAGGCAGGAGAATCGCTTGAACCAGGGAGGTGGAGGTTGCAGTGAGCCGAGATCGTGCCACTGCACTCCAGCCTGGGTAACAGTGCTCAAAAAAACAAAGCAAAACAAAAAAAAAAAACTCACCATGATGAAAGATATTATGTGAACCCAGCAATCCTGTTTCTAGGTATAACTGGAAAGAAACTTTCGTGTACACATGGCAGTGGACATGAGAATAAGTAAACAGGACTGTTACAGTGAGCAATGGAAATACCTCAAAGAGGCAACAAGCCCAGGTTTAGGACACAGATTCTGATGTGACAGGTGTGTGACCTGTCTAGGTCACTTACTAGCTTACTAGCCTTGTGACCTTGAGTGGGTAACTTAGCTTCTCTGTGTCTCAGTTTCCTCATCTGTAAAATAAGGAAGGCAAAACTACTACCTGTTATAAAGATACATGAATGAGAATTTGCAAAGCACTTAAATTGAGCCTAGAGGATAAAAAATATTATATACATGTTCATCAGTAGAAAAATGCAAAAATCGACTGTGGCCCATTCATCCAATGGTGCAATCTCACATTAGACGGTAGTTAAAAGGAACCCATTAGGTCTACATATACCAAATAGGACAAGTATCAAAAATACAATGTTGAGCAAGAAGACCAAGTATGTAGAACAATATATATAAAGTATGCTATTCAGGTGAATTTAAAAAAACAAAATAATAATACTCTCTCTCTCTCTCTCTCTCTCTCTCTCTCTCTCTATATATATATATATATATATATATATTTTTTTTTTTTTTTTTTTTTTTTTTTTGAGACAGAGTCTCACTCTGTTGCCCAGGCTGGAGTGCAGTGGCATGATCTTGGCTCACTGCAACCTCCACCTCCCGGGTTAAGTGATTCTCCTGCCTCAGCCTCCCAAGTAGCTGGGACTACAAGCTCCCACCACCATGACCCGCCAATTTTTGTATTTTTAGTAGAGACAGGGTTTCGCCATGTTGGCCAGGCCAGTCTTGAAGTCCTGACCTCAAGTGATCCACCTGCCTTGGCGTCCCAGAGTGCTGGGATTACAGGTGCAAACCACCATGCAAACCACCATGCCCAGCCAACACTACATATTTTTTGCATAGGTGTAGGTACATGTATACATATATGTATGTATATGTTTTTACTTTTTATAATTTCAACTTTTTAGATTCAGGGGTACATATGCAGGTCTGTTACATGGGTAGAGTGCATGATGCTGAGAATAAGTATTGGCTTGACGGCCAGAATATTATGCTTTGCTGTTTAGATATTGGAACAATAGCTAGGATAACAATAGAGAAGACTAGGGCTAGTACCCCTCCTAGTTTATTGGGAATAGAGCATAGAATTGCATAGGCAAATAAAAAGTCTCATTCTGGTTTAATGTCAGGTGGTGTGTTGAGGGGGTTTGCCACAGTGTCATTATCTGGGTCTCCTAGTAGGTCAGGTGAAATAGAACTAATATAAGTAGTAATAGTAGAAGGAGAATTAGACCCAAAATGTCTTTGATTGTGTAGTAGGGATGGAATGGAATTTTGCCAGAATCTGATGAAACTCCTGACAGGTTGTTGGATCCTGTCTCTGGAAGAAATAGAGGGTAGATGGCTACTAGGTCCATGATAATGAAAGGTAAGATGAAGTGGAAGGTGAAGAATGGTGTGAGGTGGCTTTGTCAACTGAAAAGCCTCCTAAGTTTATTGTACCAGGCTGGTGCCAATGTATGGAACAGCTGACAATAGATTTGTAATTACTGTTGCCCCTCAAAAAGATACTTGTCCTCATGGTAGGACACAACCTATAAATGTTGTTGCTATTACTATAAATAGTAACATAATACCGATGTTTCTGGTTTCTAGGAAAGTGTAGGACCAGTAATATAAGCCTTGTCCTACACGTAGAAAGCAGCAGATGAAAAATATCGATGCCCCTTTGGCATGTAAATTTCGGCTAATTCAGCCATAATGCAAATCTCAGCAGATCTGTGTGGCAGAGAAGGATGCAGGTGTTGTATGTGATGTACAGTGTATAGTTAGAAAGAGTCCCATGATGATTGTAGGCATAGACACTTAAAACTGAGCTGAAATTTCATCATGCAGAAATATTTGATGGTGCCAGCAGGTCAATGATATGGTTTGGCTCTATGTCCCCACCCAAATCTCACCTTGTAGCTCCCATAATTCCCACGTGGTGTGGGAGGGGCCCAGTGGGAGATGATTGAATCATGGGGGCAGGTCTTTCCCATGCCGTTTTCATGATAGTGAATGGGTCCAGATACCTCCTGCTGGAGGTGCACCACACCTATAATCCCAGTGCTTTGAGAGGCCGAAGTGGGAGGATTGTTTGAGGCCAGGAGTTCCAGACCAGCCTGGGCAACATAGGAAACCTCATCTCTAAAACAAACAAACAAAAACACTAGCCTGGCATGGTGGCGTGCCCGTAGTCTTAGCTAATCAGGAGGCTGAATGGGGAGGATCACTTAAATCCAGAAGTTCAAGTGTGCAGTGAGCTCTAATCATACCACTGAACTCCACGCTCCAACCTGGGCAGCACAGTGAGACTGTCTCAAAAAAAAAAAAAAAATCAGTGCTGAGAGTTGGTCCTGAGTTTTCATGTGGTTTGTGACACAGCAGTAGCTAATAACCGTCTTTATGTTCTTCATTCCTCCTGCTCACAGAGGAAAGGGGAGACTAACATTGTCTCGAGATGGAGTCTTGCTCTGTCACCCAGGCTAGAGTGCAATGGCGCGATCTCGGTTCACTGCAACCTCCGCCTCCCAGGTTCAAGCGATTCTCCTGCCTCAGCCTCCCGAGTAGCTGGGATTACAGGCGCATGCCACCATGCCTGGCTAATTTTTTTGTATTTTTAGTAGAGATGGGGTTTCACCATGTTGGCCAGGTTGGTCTCAAACTCCTGACTCGTGATCTGTCTGCCTCGGCCTCCCAAATTGCTGGGATTACAGGCATGAGCCACCGTGCCAGGCTGAGACTAACATTTTCTAAGGACTGACTAATGCTGAGTACTTTCACATATGGCGTTAGATTTAATTTTTTTTTTTCATCCTATGGGGTGGTCATTATTTTTCACATTCTGCAGACAAGGAAGCTAAGGCTCAGGGAAATTAGATAGCTTATCTAAAGTCAAAATTTTAGTAAGTGACACAGTTAGGATTCCAAAGCAAGTCTTCTGGCTTTTTGCAAAACCCCATTTTCACTGCTGAATACCTTATAAAGATCAGACAAATTCTCTGGGGTATCCAATTGCCATCTCCACTGAAGATAATTATAGTTTTTGTTTCCAAACACTAGTTCATCAGGGGAAAGAGACATTCACCTCGTTGTGTATAAACCAGGAGGAAAAACTGTTTATTAGTGTGTGTGAGTAGAATCTAGCCCTGTCATCACAGAGGAAATGCCCCATAATACTTACATCAATATGAATGATGAACCCTATGCATAATCAGCTATTTGGAATTGCCCTTTTATCTTTTAAGATTAAAATATCCTGTCCTCTGACTCAGAATGGCTCTAAACTTTTCTTGCTGAATTAATGTAGCATCATTTTGAAAACATAATGCCATCCTCTCTGCTAGCATTTGAAATTAATTTCTTATACAACAGGCTCTGGGCCGGGCGCAGTGGCTCACGCCTGTAATCCCAGCACTTTGGGAGGCCGAGGCGGGCGGATCACGAGGTCAGGAGATCGAGACCATCCTGGCTACCACAGTGAAACCCCGTCTCTACTAAAAATACAAAAAATTAGCCGGGCGTGGTGGTGGGCGCCTGTAGTCCCAGCTACTTGGGAGGTTGAGGCAGGAGAATGGCGTGAACCCAGGAGGCGGAGCTTGCAGTGAGCCGAGATCGTGCCACTGCACTCCAGCCTGGGCAAGGGAGCGAGACTCCGTCTCAAAAAAAAAAAAAAAAAAAACAGGCTCTGCAATTTGGCACAAGACTTCTCTGCACACAGTCTAAAACTACTCTGCAAAGTTTAAAAGCTTTGCAGAACTTTTAATGGTGTATCTTGGGCCGATATAAAAACAATGTGGATTGTTAAAGAGAAGACAAACATGTGAGAGAAACTTGTTTTTCTTTTTCTTTGATCTCCTAAAAGCAAGATCACATCTCAACATACAGAATGAACAAGGGGAACAAGGTTTAAAAATCAGAGGAGAGGAGGGTACGAACAAATCTCTTTCTGTGTGCATAAACTCAAATCACGCTATTAAGTTGTGAAAAGAAATATTAAGGACCAATCCTTTTAGAAACCTTTCAGATGAGCCAAAGTGGGAAAAGTCTAGAATCTGTCCTTGAAAGGGATTTAGTATATACTCAAAGTAGGACTGGGGTGATTGAAGACCATTAAGCACTAATGAGAAAGAGACCAAATTTTACTTAGGATTTTTTAAATTTGCTCATTAGAACAATATTTATTTATTCATTTATTTATTTATTTTTCATTGAGACGGAGTCTCCCACTGTTGCCTGGGCTAGAGTGTAATGGCGCGATCTCGGCTCACTGCAACCTCTGCCTCCCTGATTCAAGTGATTCTCCTGCCTCAGCCTCCTGAGTAGCTGGGATTACAGGCGCCCACCACCATGCCCAGCTAATTTTTTGTATTTTTAGTACAGACAGGGATTCACTATGTTGGCCAGGCTGGTCTCGAACTCCTGACCTCGTGATCCACTTTCCTCGGCCTCCCAAGGTGCTGGGATTATGGCCACGTATTTCATTTTTTAAGAGTGTCTCTTTTAAACGTGATTCACTTTATGGAATCCTACTGCCCATTAGAGCATGGAAAGCTCCTTTTGTCCATGTCACAGGGCGAATTACTTCATCGTGTTGAATATACTGAGTGTCCCAAGAAGTTTTTCTTCCCAGTGACATGGCTGCTTTCTTCCTTGATTACTGTCTGGATTATTTCTAAGCCTTTGAATTGACCTCTTTGCTTTCAATACACCTCACCTTGATTCATTTTACACACAGTCATTGGTCATTCTTGGTTTCACTGTCACCAAGTCTCCTGTTAGGTATGCAAGAGCTCTGTGTGACAGCCTTTACTGTAATCAGCCTGTGGGGCACAATGCAAACAAATCGGCATTTCCCTACCTACCCACTGAAACTGAGCCACATGGAGGGGCTGTGTGGCTGCCAGTCAGATGCATTAAGGCACCAGGGGCAGGAGTTTCAAATGTGAGCTGCGTATGGGAAGGCCCAAGAACAGTCTCTGAATGCAGAACAAGTTGATGGAGACTGCTGGAGAGGAAGGGATAGCAGTGATTACTTATTTAGCCGTGAGGTCTCCTGAGCGACACTGGGAGGCTGGCTCATTGTTAATTTTTTTGTTTTACTATAATTATTTATAATTTTAGTAAATTGTAAGTAATTTACTAAAGTAAATAATTATAAAAATGCAAATCTGGGTTTTGAACTCAAATTTGTCTGCTGGACCTACAGAGAGTAATTTGATTCTATTTTTCCTCTTACAGAGATTTCTGATTTTTAAATGTTATGACATTAGATACTGCCAAGATTGCCTGAATAATGTGTGCTCTTTCACTTTGCCATTTTGAACTTCTAAAATTTTAGACCTTTGGACACCCAAAGAAGTCTTTAGGTTTCTTTTTAAAAAGAAATTAGGTGGTAATGCCTGCAAACCTGCCAGTTATTCTTTCCAGGGGGAAACCTACTTGTGTTTGTTCTTTGTGTACCTTCCCCCACTAGAATGGAAGCTCCGTGAAGACAAGAACCAAGCTTGTTTGGTTCTCATTTGTAACTTTGATGGTTCTAGGCATGCAAAGACACCGAGTAAATGTTTGTTGAATGAATGAATGAATGAATGAATGAATGAATGAATGCTATCCAACTTGGGCAAATTTTTGCAATACGTAAACTTCGTTTCCATGGTGATATCATACCCCATTTTTTTCCCTTCCAGTGGTCTTAATCATTTCCAGCACCCACCTCCCGCCAGCTCTCCTCCCCATACTCCTCTCTTTATATTTCTCAAACTTACTACAAACTTTAGCCATTGAAATATGCAAGAACCAAGAAGTCAACCAGCTAATGAACAAATTAGTCTGTGATACTGGCAGAAAGCCAGGACTTCCCTTAATAATAAGGGCATTTTAGGAAGTCTTATAGAGACAATGAATGCTTCTCATTTGTGATCTCATTAGTGACTCTAGTTTTGACAATGGCTGGCCAAAGGATACTTTTCAGCTACTATAATCTACTGTAATGTACCAAGTCACCTATATGGAGTAGACATCTTCCAGGACTGAGGCCACATTCCATGATATTTGATGTGATTGATATTGTGGATTGCTTTTAGAGTTTGCTTTACGCTAATGAGGATAGAAAGAGGAAATAAAGAAAGCAACCGAGTTCATTAAACGAAAAAGGCAGAGGACTCTCAGGAGAAGGAATTTGAATTCTAGCACTTATCCAAACATGCAAAGAACCCCCTCTGGTCCCCAAATTTCCTTGTAAGAAAACTGCTCTCTGTGTCAAGCAGTGCCTAGAATATTGGATCTGAGACGTAAAGTTGAAGAATTACTGAATTAAGGTATGACCAAGGCTTTTTTGGTTTTGTTGTTTTAAAGCAATTCTTAAAATTAATATTTTTCCTTAATCATTTGAGATATATTTTCCAAAGGTTGAGGTTGCATATGCCACATTTTAATCTGGATGTCTTCATATTCATGTTTAGGGAAAAGAATGAAAATAACATGTATAAATTTTACCAATATGTTTTCTCATTTAATATTCAAAACAATCCACTGAAGTATATCCTGTGAGTCTCATTTCACAGATTAGGAATCTGAGACCTAGAGGTAAAGTGCTTGCCATGCTCAAGGCCACACAGCTAATAAATGCAAATCTGAGTTTTGAACTCAAATTTGTTTGCTGGATCTGCAGATAATATTTTGATTCTGTTTTTTCTCTGACAAAGATTTCTGAATTTTAAATTTTATGACATTAGATTCTGCCAAGATTCCCTGAATAAGGTGTGCTCATTCACTTTACCATTCCGAACTCCTAAAACTTCTTATCTTTAGACATCTCTAGTCCTATCTTTGATAACAAGAAATTTGCTGTTATGTGTCATAGGTTTTTGGTTTGTTTGTTTTGTTTCTTTTTTTGAGACAGAGTCCCACTCTGTTGCCCAGCAGGCTGGAGTGTAGTGATGTGATCTCGATTCACTGCAACCTCTGCCTCCTGAGGTTCAAGTGATTCTCCTGCCTCAGCCTCCTGAGTAGCTGGGATTACAGGTGCACGCCACCACGCCAGGCTAATTTTTGTTATTTTTTTTAGAGATGGCATTTCACCATGTTGGCCAGGCTGGTCTCGAACTCCTGACCTCAAGTGATTCGCCCGCCTCAGCCTCCTGAAGTGCTGGGATTACAGGCGTGAGCCATGGCGCCTGGCCTATAGTTTTTTAAAATGTTTATAATCTTCAATAGCAAGGTCCCCCAAAGTCTACTGAAGCTAGACTTGACTGAAAATTTATATACACAAATAAGAAATGTGTGCATATAGCAATGCGTGTGCTAAAACTGAAGGGATAGGCCAGACACAGTGGCTCACACCTGTAATCCAAGCACTTTGGGAGGCCGAGGTGGGCAGATCATTTGAGGTCAGGAGTTCAAGACCAGCCTGGCTAACATGGTGAAACCCCATCTCTACTAAAAAAAAATACAAAAATTAGCCAGGCGTGGTGGTAGGCACCTGTAATCCCACTCGGGAGGCTGAGGCAGGAGAATCTCTTGAACCTAGGAGGCGGAGGTTGCAGTGAGCCGAGATTGTGCCATTGCACTCCAGGCTGGGCAACAGAGCGATACTCTGTCTCAAAAAAAAAGAAGTGATAAAACTAATGGAAATTATTCTGTATTAGGAAGAAGATGGAAGTTCATCATTTTAAAGATAAAATGGCTCAGTGTGAAAATGCAACATATTTTATAATTACCCAAAAATTATTTTTTCTTTGAGAACCAAGAGATATTCTTTTTCACAAAAACGTGTATGAATTTTCCCAAAGTAAAATCTAAGTTGAAATCTCCTATTTTGAGTTTAAGCCTGTGGAGCTAACCTTTACCAATCTTAGTTGCCATCCAAAATCTCTAATTAAATTTTTCTCAAAAACCAAACCAAACCAAACCAAACGAGGCAAAAAGAGGCAAGCTCTTTACTGCCACCTACCGTCAGAAAAAAATAGCCCACTAAGTGTAAGGATAAATGACTTGCATGGAAAACTTGAGGCGTGGACAGGGAGACCATATGGTCTGGTTTGCAGATAGTTCCTGTTGTCTTGACATTTATCCATTTTAGCATTTGTCCTGCCCCCTTTTTCTCTCAAAACCTTGATTTAGATTACAAATTATATGGTTGTTACTGGCTGTTTCCATACATCACTTAAAATACTCAAGTCAGGCTTATCTCTCCCATCTAAATGCACACACACACTTCTTCAATCAGAGCCCTCTTCCCAGCTCCCATTCTTTCTCGTTCTGATCTTCATGACCAAACTTCTCAAAATAGTAATGCACACACCATTTCCACTTCATTACTTCTCATTCACTCCTCAACTCACAGTACTCTCCCTTCTGCTCTACCTATTCCTCGAAACTGCTAGTTACCTGGCCACTCTCAAATCAGCAGACACATTTCTGCCTTGATCTTGCTTCATATGTTGTCAACAGGCATGAGCCACCACGCCCGGCTAATTTTTGTTTTTGTTTTTTTTAGAGACAGTGTTTCACCATGTTGGTCAGGTTGTACGCTGTCGTCTGCACTCCCTCTGCCATCTTACATCTTGTCTTGGGTGACACATCCTCCTGTTTTCCTCCTATAGTCTGGATTCTTGTCAATGTCCTTTATAATTTTAACTTCCTCTGCTCACACCTAAATGTTGGTGTCTCCCTTCATCATCGCTCTACAGACTATGCCTGGGTAATCTCACCTTGTGAGTTCTACTGCAATCAACTTGCTAAAGATTCCCAAATTCATTGATTCACTCATTCATTCACTGTTTGTTCAATAAATATTTATGGAGCACCTACAAAATGCCAGTGACTTCTCCAGGTTCTGGGATATATCAGGGAACAAAACGGGAGGGAAAATTTCTGCCCTGTGTAGACAGTAAGACAATAAACCGCAAACAAAATAAATAAGTAAATTGAACAGTATGTTTAAGAGTGATAAGTGACACATGGCAGGTCGCAGTGGCTCACGCCATTAATCCCAGCACTTTGGGAGGCCGAGGCAGGCGGATCACAAGGTCAGGAGTTTGAGACCAGCCTGACCAACATGGTGAAACCCCACCTCTACTAAAAATACAAAAATTAGCTGGGCATGGTAGTATGCACCTGTAATCCCAACTACTCAGGAGGGTGAGGCAGGAGAATCGCTTGAACCCGGGAAGTGGAGGTTGCAGTGAGCCGAAATCACACCACTGCACTCCAGCCTGGGCAACAGAGTGAGACTGTCTCAAAACAAAACAAAACAAAAAAAGAGTGATAAGTGATACAGAATAGAGTAATAGAGATTGGGGATGGTGGAGCAGGGTTTTTTAATAGAAGGGACAGGGAAGGCCTCATGGAAAAGGCAACATTTTAGTTGACTTGAAGAAGAAGAAGGAATAAGCTATGAAAATATCTGGAAGAAGAGCAGAAGAAACAAAGTGCAAAGATCCCGAGGAAAGAATGTACCTGTCCTATTCTCGGGATGGAAAGGAGGCCAGGATGGTTCTGGAGCAAACTGAATGAGAAGGAGGGGAATAGAGGATGAGGTTAGAGGGGTTCAGGCCTGCAGATGACAACGGCCTGCAGATGACAATGGCCTACAGATGACAACGGCCTGCAGATGACAACGGCCTACAGATGACAACGGCCTGCAGGCCACTGTAAGGGACTCTGGTTTCCCTGTGAGAGAACAGAACTGGAGAGCCATTTGCAGGGTTTTAGGTAGAGAAATGACATCATCTTTCATGTCATTTAACAGAATCGCTGTCTTAGGTCAGGTTCCCATGGAAACATACTCTGAAACACGGGTTGTATACAGGTTTACTGGGGACTGCTCTTGGGAATGCCGGTAAGGGAGTGAGGAAAGCAGAATTGGGCGGAGGGAGAAGTTGGACTGTGACGCAGTTGCAAGAGAGGCCACGGGATGGCTCTTCAGAGTTACCCACATCTTTACACCGTTCCTTGAGTAGTCACTGGATGCAGGTTGTCTCTCAGGAGGGAGCTGTACCCTTGGGTGAGGCAGCCACCTTCAGCCAAGGGCAGTTCCCAGAGAGAGAGATTCAACTGAGACTCCTTTGCAGTCAACATTTTCCATCCTGAATTGGGGAGATGCACCACAGCATCTTAGAGTCGGCCTCTGCACCCTCAGATAGATCAACTCCATATAGAAGCACCCAGGATCCCTCTTCCATCTTCTGGTTGGCTCTTGCTACTGCAGCTTTTCTCAAGACTTGAATGATACTCATCATCTCCTCCGCTACTCCACACGGTAGATTTTTCCCCACCCCCAGTCAGTCTATTCACCACACAGCAATGTGAGTGTTCCTGCTAACACATAAGTCAGATCATGTCACTCCTTTGCTTAAAACCCACCATGTAGGCTGGGTGCGGTGGCTCATACTTGTAATCCCAGAACTTTGGGAGCTGGGCCGGCGGATCACTTGAGGTCAGGAGTTCAAGACCAGCCTGGCCAACATGGTAGAACCCCATTTCTATTAAAAATACAAAATGGCTGGCCATGGTGGTGCACGCCTGTAATCCTAGCTACTCTGGAGGCTGAGACAGGAGAATTGCTTGAACCCAGGAGGCAGAGGTTGCAGTGAGCTGAGATCGCGCCACTGCACTCCAGCCCAGGTGACAGAGCAAGACTCTGTCTCAAAAAAAAAACAAAAAAACAAAAAAACAAAAAAAAACAAAACCCCACCATGTAACTACTCCCCTTTCATTTCGGAGTAAAAGCCCAAATCCTTATCATGATTTATATCATATTCTTGCTAGGGACTACATCATCCCCGATTATTCTCCTCACCACTCACTCTGTTCCTGTTACACCAACCTCCCTCCTTGAGCACATTTTTGAAGGACAGTTTGGCAGTGTCTATTTTCCTACTCTTCTTGGAGAAGCCCGAGTCAAGATGCTTTCAGACTGAAATGTTAATGATTCTGTCTGCTAGTGTAAAGGTTGTCTTCTGCAAAGATTATCTGGTCGTCATATCACAGGCATTTAATTTAAAAGAATTCAACCATTGGCTTAAAAAAGAAAGAGAAGCAATCATTTAAATAGCACGCATTACTAGGGCAGCGTGTACCCACCCGAGGCAGAGTGCCAGGAGTCCTGAAAAGAATATCTGAATGATTTTAAGGTTTCCCAACTATTCACCAAAAAAAAAAAAAAAGTGAAATTTGTTGATTAAGTGACCAGGCAAGATGGTTTCCTTGAGGAAGAAAGTGAACAACTAAAGCCTGACGAGAAACTTTAATGATAAAGAATTAGAGGGCCAGGCACAGTGGCTTATGCCTGTAATCCCAGCACTTTGGGAGGCTGAGGTAGAAGGACCGCTTGAGGTCAGGAGTTCGAGACCAGCCTGGGCAGCATAGTGAGAGCTCATCCCTACCAAATAAGTAAATAAGAATTAGAGGAATAAAAAAATACTTTTACAGAATTACATATACAAAAACATACATACTATATATTTTAAACTAAGAGATGTTCAAGGGCAATTTTTATTTCACTGGCTGATCGAATTGGGCCCTGTACTAGAGAAAAGAGAACCAGCAAGAAGTGACCCTCATATGGAAGGGATGAGAAGGCGCTTGGAAGTGTCATTAAAGGGCTGGGGTAAGGCTTAAGGCAAGAGATAGCCAGTAGGGACCTCTATTGGGGGACCATAGGAGCAAGTTTATCTCATATCAAGTTAAAAGTTTTCTGTCTGTATCTTCTCAGGCTAAATTCTTGTATTTATTTATTTTTTTGAGACGGAGTTTCACTCTTGTTGCCCAGGCTGGAGTGCAATGGTGCCATCTCGGCTCACTGCAACCTCCGCCTCCTGGGTTCAAGCAATTCTCCTGCCTCAGCCTCCCGAGTAGCTGGGATTACAGGCATATGCCACCACTCCCGGCTAATTTTGGATTTTTAGTAGAGATGGGTTTTCTCCCTGTTGGTCGGGCTGTTCTGGAACCCAGACCTCAGGGGATCCGCCCGCCTCAGCCTCCCAAAGCACTAGGATTACAGGGGTAAGCCACCGCGCCCGGCCAATCCTTTTACAAGTCTGTTAAACATGCCAGCCATGTCTTAGCTGTGACTGGGGGATAAACGGAGGCACTATGTCTGTGTTTCGGGTCAAAGCAGAAGAATCTGGGGCTGTGGCCTCGAGAAGTGGTTATGAGTTGAGGTGGTTGATAGAGAACACTAGAGCAGTCTGGAACAAGAGGTGGCAACGAGACTGATGATGACCTCGTGGAAAAGAGAACACGCCTTGGTACTTAGAAATATTGAGAGAGGGGACTAGAATTTCTGGAGTTATACAGGTTAAGGGGACAGATTGCATACATGGGGATTGAAAAGGAGGGTGATTCCTCCCTTTCCATCACTGGAAAAGTAAAGAAATTTGGAAAAATTCAGAATATATATACAAGAAGAAATATCTGGGCTATAGTGGCTAAGTCTGGAAAGAAAGATTGGGGTGGGCTGAAGGATTCTAACATTATATATTTTGTTTACACTTGTATTACATTACTTGTGTTTGTTATGATAACCATGCATTAGTTTTTTATTAAACATAAGGTTTAGGGGAAAGTCGAATAACTATACAAATTATTATAAAATTCATTAGAAATAGGCCGGGCTCACGCCAGTAATCCCAGCACTTTGGGATGCCAACGCGGGTGGATCACCTGAGGTCAGGAGTTCAAGACCAGCCTGGCCAACATGGCAAAACCCTGTCTCTACAAAAATACAAAAATTAGCCTGCTGTGGTGGTGCGCTCCTGTAGTCCCAGCTACTCGAAAAGCTGAGCCAAGACAATTGCCTGAAACTGGGAGGCAGAGGTTGCAGTGAGCCCAGACCTGGATGACAGAGCGAAATTCTGTCTCAAAAAAAAAAAAAAATATATATATATATGTGAGAAATAAAGAGTATTGAGAGGGAGAATTGCCCTCTGGATTACAAAATATTATACAACTAGGATCATTAGAGTATTACGGTACTGATGAAAGGACAGATGAATGCAAAACTGTGGCTTGGAAACAAATACTATTATGTTAAAAATTTTTAATAAATTGAGGTGATGTCATAAACTAATAGGGAAATAATGGGCCAGGACAATAGTTAGCTATATGAAAAAAATTAATTAATTTTGAGATCCTTGCATTACACCATATTCCTAAATAAATTCCAAATGGATTAAAACATTAAATAAAACAAACAAGAATATTGACCAGATCTCACGATCAGAATCATCCTAAAATATGGAAAAAAATTAAATATTGATCATTTGAATTTATAAAAATTTAAAGTGTTTTTGTGTCCTAAAAGTTATAAAATTAGAAGGCAAGAAAACTGAGGAAAAATAAAGGGCTTATACAAATGGATAAAAGGAAGATACATGACTAATTAACAAAAGAAATAGAAACAGCTAACGAACATAAGAATATTCAATCTCATTGATGAAAAGTTTTGTCCTTTGAATTAATAAAGAACTTTTTTAAAATATGAGGGTGAGATAAGAGAAACATATTGAAGGCAGACATACACATTGAAACAATAGCAGTATGAATAAAGCGGCTTAAAAATAATATCAGAAAAGGAAATTATCTGAAATGTGGAAAAAGTTTTGTGCACAGAAGTGCCAGTATTACTTATTATAGTGGAATAATGGAAACAACCTGTATGTCCAATAATACGGGACCAGATAAGAAATTATAGTGTGGACAAATGATTAAGTTATATTTTCTGAGACTACTAATTAAATATGGGAAGGCTTATAGGTTAGGTGAAAATAGTTGGATATAAATTCTAACTTACAGTATGAATGGCAAATTTTTTTAATGAAAAAACTTTTAAAAAATGTATGAATTGTATGTAGTATGATTTCTTATATTCTTCTGTTTTCCAAGATCCTTTTCATAATCATGTATTACATTGGTAATCAGAAAAAAAAATTCTTCTTTAGAGCCTTCACAATAAAGTCCAAATTCCTTAGCAAAGTTTATGATTACAACCTGGCCTCTGCCTTCTGTTCACCTTCTCATCATTGCCGTGTTCCTAACTTGCACTAAGGTCATACCAATTGCTTACATTTCCCTAATTGCCGTGTCATCACTAGCTCAGGTTTATTTATTTTATTTTTTATTTTTTTGCCTACAGTGCTCTTGAATGTCCTTCCTACTTTCTGGCCCTGTTAACTGGCCACTTTGACTTCAAGCCCCGGCCCTGTATTTTCAAGAGATAGCCTCCTCTGGGGACCCTTGAGTAGAGTTAAATATAGTTGGCCCTCCATATCCCTGGGTACTGCATCTATGAATTCAACCAACCTCAAATTCAGGAAAAAAGCAAACTTGAATTTGCGCATGCCATTGAATCCACGTGAATGAAGTGATGCGTAGACATCATATTAGGTGTTATAAGTAATTTAGAGATGATTTCGCGTATATGAGAGGATGTGTGTATGTTATATGCAAATATTATACCATTTTATATAAGGGACTTGAGCATCCATGAATTTTGGTATCCATAGAAGGTCCAGAACCAATCCCCCATGAGTAGAGACAGCTGTACCCCCTGCTTTGTGCTGCTCTAACATCCTGTGCATTCCTTTCTCAGAGCACTTATCACATTGAATTGCCATCATGGTTACCAACCACCCTAGTTTGTCTCTCCCTAATTCTAATTCTGTTAACTTGTTCCTACTTACCCTATGAGCCCCTTGAGTGCACAGACTGTTTATATCACTACTGAGTTTTTTTATTCTTTCCATTACACATACTGTCACTTTTACCTTTTTTTTTTTTTTTTAGAAACAAGGTCCCACTCTGTCACCCAGACTGAGTCCTGTGGTGTGATCATAGCTCACTCTAACCTTGAACTCTGGGGCTTAAGTGATCATCCTGCCTCAGCCTCCCGAGTAGCTGGAACTATAGGCGTATACCACCATGCCCAGCTAATTGTTAATTTTTTGTAGAGACGAGGTCTTGCTATGTTGCCCAGGCTGGTCTTGAACTCCTGGACTCAAGTGATCCTCCCACCTCAGCCTCCTAAAGTGCTGGGATTACAGGAATTACTGTCTTGCAATCTTCACTCACTTTAGTCATGAGATTATTAGGGGACAGTAGAAAACAGGTAAGTGGAAAGGTCACTGGTCCTATGAACAAGTACTATAGACAGCTCCCACTCTGATGTGATTTGAAGGATGTTACAAAGTTATTCAAAACTATTTTTGTTACAAGCTTGTCAGAGAGCCAGTGAAAAACTTCCCCTCTAGGTTGTTAAGTGAAACAACACCTTGATTATTTAATATATTCGGATGACTTATGTTTATTCTTCCCTTTAGTGCTCATTGTAACTTTGAACAGTTGTTTAAATACTGCTAGTTGATACTGCAATCTGTGTCATTTCAATCCCACACTCACAATTCCCCTACCCGGCCCTAATTGTTATATTTTCCAGAGCAGGAATAACCTTCTAACATGCTGGTTGAGTATATTTCTTTATTATGTCTATAGTCTGCGCCCTACTCCCCATCAACACAGGATAGGGATCTTTATTTTGTTCACTGGTGTATCTAAAGTACCTACAAAAGTGTCTGGTACATAATAGACACTCAATAAGTATTTGTCGAATGACTAGCTCTGCTGAAATGAGGGATTAGTCCTCTTTTTAGGATAACTCATTCTAATTCACAAAATGAAAATTTTACAATATCAACAGAGGCCATTTACTACCTTTCCTGAGGATAAAAATAGTATACTTTTTCTGGCAACCAATTATTACTTTCTTGCCTTTTCTTTTTATTTTTTTTTTGTTTGTTTGTTTGTTTTTGAGACAGAGTCTCGTTCTGTCACCCAGGCTGGAGTGCAATGGCGCGATCTCGGCTCACTGCAACCTCCGCCTCCTGGGTTCAAGCGATCCTCCTGCCTCAGCCTCCTGAGTAGCTGGGACTACAGGTGCCCACCACTACGCCAGACTAATTTTTGTATTTTTAGTAGAGACAGGGTTTCACCATGTTACCCAGGCTAGTCTCGAACTCCTGCCCTCAAGTGATCCGCCCACCTCGGCCTCCCAAAGTGCTGGGATTACACGCATGAGCCACGGCGAGCCAAAGTACTTTTTTCCCTTAAGCCTGTTTGAGTTGGGTCTTCTGTCATCCAAGACTTTTTTTCAATAATACAGTCACCTTCTGTTTCCACACTTGTGGAAACTTAAAAAAAAAAAAAAAAAAACCGCGGCCGAGCGCGGTGGCTCACGCCTGTAATCCAAGCATTTTGGGAGGCCGAGGCGGGCGGATCACCTGAGGTCAGGAGCTGGAGACCAGCCTGGCCAACATGGCGAAACCTCGTCTCTACAAAAAAAATACAAAAATTAGCTGGGCGCAGTGGCGGGCGCCTGTAATCCCAGCCACTCAGGAGGCTGAGGCAGGAGAATCGCTTGAACCCAGGAGGCGGAGGTTGCAGCGAGCCGAGATCGCGCCATTGCACTACAGCTTGGGTGACAGAGTGAGACTCCGTCTCAAAAACAAAAGCAGAAACAAAAACCGCCCCATAGCCCAGCCGCTCGTTCTCATCCTTCTCTCCCATCCTCACCCCAGTGCCTTCACCGCCCCGTCCCCGCTTTCCGGCTGCCTCGGCGCGGGCCTGGTGGGCCAGGAGGGCTCCCACCCGGGGCAAAGCCTCAAGACGCGGGGCCGGCGTTCTCCCTGGAAGGCTCGCTGCGGCCACCCTTCCCCAGGTCCCCGGAGCCCACGTTCTCCCAGCTCGCCCGGCTCCCGTTTCGCTCCCAGCTCCAGTATGAACCCGGAGCACGTGCAGTTCTACCCTGATTGGCTCGTCATCATCGTGTTCCACAGCCTAGTCCCCAGCTCGCTGTCTGTCACCCTGCGTTCCCAGAGCACAGAACCGGGCAAAGAGCCGGGAACCCACGGCACCAGAGCTAATCCCTGATGAGTCACCGCTCCAGGCGCGGACACTCGGGCTTCCTCGCCCCACTCTACGGGCCAAGGAGACGTCAGCAGGATCCCACCTCCCACAGCAGTCGAGCAAGAGAGCACGCGGAACAAAGGAGCTCTGCGTGATTTCACACAAGAGCCACTCGGATTTCCTTCAAATCTGAGGCAAAGCGCATTTCCCTTCGCGGCTCCGGGCAGCCTCCGAGCACCGGGTCTCCGGCACTACCTCCCCTGGGCCGTGGGGTGGCAGCAAACGTCAAGGGGGATGCGCATGCTCTGTGTGGGGCCTCGCCCTTCGCCCCCGCGGCCGCCGAGTGACGGAAGCGCGTGCTTAGGCTCATGGGAAATGTGGTTTCTAAACCGCGGGCGCCCCCTGCCTGGGCCCAGAGCGGGACTTCAGCTCCCGGCCGGCTGGCTGGCGCGTGTGGAAACGCGGGAGGAGAGGGCGGGGCGAGTGGGAGAAAAGGTGGGCGGAGCCGGTGGGAAGGCCAGGCGGAGGGGGCGGGGCTTCGGCCGGCTAAGCCGCGGCCACCCGCGGTCTGAGGGACCGGAGGAGCGGGGCCGGGAGCTGCGAGGAGCCCCCCAGACGTCGCCGAGCGCGAGGGCGGGCGTGCTCGGAGTGGTCGCTCGTCAGCCGCCGCCCCTCAGTCTCCGCACTTGCAGGTCCCCTCCCTCTCCGCCGGGACGCGGGAGAGCCCGGCTCGCGGCGGGGGCGGCCAATGCGAAACTGGCTGGTGCTGCTGTGCCCGTGTGTGCTCGGGGCCGCGCTGCACCTCTGGCTGCGGCTGCGCTCCCCGCCGCCCGCCTGCGCCTCCGGGGCCGGCCCTGCAGGTGAGGTCCTGGGGCCGGGCGGGTTGGCGGCCGCCGGGGGGGTGGGAGGCCCGGCTTGGTGCCGCGGGGCTTCGCCGGGAATTGTTGGAGGCGGGGGAAGGGCCAAACGCGACGGTCCCCAGACGAAACAAACGGCTCTTTTCATCCTTGGAGCGTTAACATCGGGCAAACTTGAGGGAGCTTTTCTCTTTTCGTGTCCCCGCCTCTTCTCACTTCCCCGTTTCCCTTAACGCCCGCAGAGCCGGCGCCCGCAGTTGCAAGTCCTTCGCCTGTCCCCAGGCCTGGTTAGTGATGTCCGACGCCGCCCGTTCGCCCGGGAGCGGAACCTCGTGTGCCCTTCAGCCGCCAGCGCTTTCTGCTTTGGGAGCTCTGGCTCTGAAGTTGTTTTCTTCCCCCCCAAGTTGTTGGTCTTTCTCGGTCAAGACTGGGGTTTTAGTGCCGTGGATAATGTGTGTGCGTGTTTTCAAAGGTGGCTCGGTTTTGCTTTTAAGGAATAACTTTGCTGTAAGAATATACTGTAGTTCGTATTCTTGGATTATGATGTAAGTCGGTTAAACAAATCTAGACATGAAATAGGGCATGGCCGAGAGTTGGAGTTGTTCCTGTGAGTTTGGATCGCATAACCTGCTAATGCAGTTTACATGGAAATATCAAATTCTTTAACGATCGTGTCCATTTGCTCTAAAACTTAATCTCTCGTAGGAATGAAACCTTTGTTCTTGTTTCGCGTCACAGCCTAATAGAATGCTTTACTTACGGTGCCCAGCGGATTGTTTTGTTAGTGGGTTCCACCACCCTGAACACTACTTTAGCTTTCCCTGTATCTCTTGTCTTCTTCTTTAAGGGCTTGCCCTAGAACATGAAAGAAACCTAGAAAGCTCTTTTAAATATTATGTAATACTTAATTTTGTAACTATACTGGGACTTTTTTCCCTTACCATCTCTCCCCAAAACAGCTGTTTTCTAATCCAAAAGTTCTTAAAATTAGAATTGAGTGTTTGCAGTTCAGCACTCTATGCCTTATAAGTAGAAAGTATTCGGCAATCCTCAAAACAGTCTCAGTTATATGAAATTATGTTGAGGTTATTTTGGTAACAATCTCTTTTCCTATTAGATCACTAGCTCTTTGAAAAGGATTTGTGTGACCTGAATAGAATTAAACACTATTTAAGTGATTTAATGAAAGTACAGTGTTGCTATGCACTTAACCAGTTGATGGGGTCAGGGTTTTGCTCAGTGTTTTTTAGGTTTTTGTGAAGTGAACTAAGAAGAGAACGCCATATATAAAAAATGCTTTGTAACAGCTGCTTGTGTGTTACAGGTTTCTCTCTTTTGTTATGAGTGAGCCCTGCTGGAATCTCCTTGTAGAGCGTCATTAAGTCTGTTTATGGCCTTAATGGTTGTTTAGGGTTCAGTAAAACAAACAAAAACTGAAATGTTAGTAGACTTCAAACTGAAATCTTAGTAGACTTGCTAGGCAGTTTTCTAGTTTGAGACAAGTTTTTCCTACTCCCTTACTGCACTTGAAGGATGATGCCTTTATCTGCCATCCAGTAGTTAGACCAGGCTAGATTAAGGAAATGAAGAAGTAGACCATAGAAAGGAACAGGGTAATAACGTAGGTAAGAAGATCAATACTAGTTATGTTAATTAACTTTGGCTTTGAATGAGTACTGTGTATCTGGTCAGATAATAAATGGGATTTTTTTTTAAGTTCCGGGATACGTGTGCAGGACGTGCAAGTTTGTTACATAGGTAAACGTGTGCCATGGTGGTTTGCTGCAGCTGTCAACCATCGATATTTTAATAATCTAAGTTAAACATGACTGGCCCGGCGCGGTGCCTCACGCCTGTAATCCCAACACTTTGGGAGGCCGTGGTGGGTGGATCACCTGAGGTCAGGAGTTCAAGACCAGCCTGGCCAACATGGCGAAACCCCGTCTCTACTAAAAATACAAAAATTAGCCGGGCATAGTGGTGCATGCCTGTAATCCCAGCTACTAAGGAGGCTGAGGCAGGAGAATCACTTGAACCTCGGAGGCGGAGGTTGCAGTGAGACGAGATTGCGCCACTGCACTCCAGCCTGGGTGACAAGAGCGAAAGTCCATCTCAAAATAATTAATTAATTAATTAAACAAGACTGACTCCTACCTTTCCTTTTTTCCTTTTGGTACTTTCAAAGCTAAAAGCAGTGGAAGCATCTTAAATGCTAAAATTTCCCATAATTCCTTTACCATTGTGCTGTCACCATGTTGAAACTAAAATAGTTGGGTGTTTTTACATTTTAACCCTTGTACTTTAAGCCTAACAGGAGAAAAAAAAACCCAAGATTTTGCTAAGTATTCTTTTCTTGAATTAACATTTTTAAATGTATTTTTTTTTCTCTTCTGCTGCTTTGTCTGTCTTCAGTCTCATTAAGTAATGGCAGTTTCTTTGTTTTTTTTGAAAGAGCGATTTACCTTCCCTGAATATTAAAAAAGGTTCTTTGGCTCGCAGTTGATTCAGCAAATATTTGAGAGCCTACTCTGTGCCAGCTCCTATCGTAGGTGTGGAATTACAGCAGTAATCAAGCTAAACTTCCTGCCCTCATGTAGTTTACAATTTAGAAGGGAAGACAGAGCATCAGGAAATAATTATAAATATCACAGCGGTAGTGATAAGTATAGGGAAAAAAGATAAAGCAGTGTTAAGAGATTAAAGAGATGGTTTTAAATAGGTCAGGGAAGTCCATTCCATTCTGAAGAGGTAACAGTTGAGCAGGGACCAGAATGAAGTAAGTGAGTCACCTTAGTACCAGAGTCAGCAACTTTTTTAATGTGATAGGTTCCCTTAAACCAGTCAGGGAAAGCAACTGGTAAAGAGGAAGTGAAATCCAGTACACCTGAGGGTGACAGAGGAAAATGCAGGTGGAGATAACCATCGGACTAAGGAATCTAAACATAGGATATCTTGATTACAAAATGCTCGTTTTGGGTAATGCCTTAAGTAGGAATTATTTAACGGTTAATTTAGAAAAATGATGTGACAAAAGAAGGCTTCGCTTTCTAGGGTATCTGGAAAGAAAGAAACCAAAACAAAGGAGCATATTCACTCAACAAGTACTTGAGTGTTAGATTCTGTGCTGGATGCCTAGTCCCTTCTCCCAAGGTGCTCACAGTATCTAATGGAAACAGATGTAGAGCAAGTAGAAGGTCAGAAAACAAATTGAGCTTGCTTTGTAATTTTGCCTGGGGTGAGTTCTTCCAAAATTATCCCTATATGCTAATTGTGTCTCTGTGCTTCAGTTTCCTTATTTATAAGATGATGATCTCATAGACTTATTGTGAAGATTCAATTAATGAAACACCCGCAACAGTGCCTGTTTCATAGTAAACACTCCATGAGTTTGAGAGAGGAGTGGTAGTCTGGTGGCCGCTGATGCCTGTGCTAGTGTGGTGTTTTGGGAGGTGTCTTTGGTAGTGTGTATGATGATTGTCTTTATCATTAGATCTGTGACAGGCTCACATGTTTTCTTCATTTTCAAGATTTGTATCTATTTGTGACTCTTCCAAGAGCATGCATATCAGAGTGGAATTTTGGTGTGATTTTTAAGACTCTTGGGCTTATTTTGAGCAATCAATTTTGATGTCAACCTTCTTTAGACTTTTTTGATTATTATTTTGAGGCACAGTTTCACTCTGTCGCCCAGGCTGGAGTGCAGTGGCACCATCTTGACTAACTGCAACCTCTGCCTCCGGGTTGAAGCCATTCTCCTGCCTCAGCCTCTGTTACATGTGTGTGCCACCACACCCAGCTAATTTTTGTATTATTAGTAGAGACTGCGTTTTGCCATGTTGGCCAGGCTGGTCTCGAACTCCTGACCTCAAGCGATTCATTCACCTCGGCCTCCCAAAGTGCTAGGATTACAGGCATGAGCCACTGCGCCAGGCCCTCCCTTAGACTTTAATATACCTTTGGATGTCCACTCACAGTGCAGGGTTGAGCAGGTTGCCAGACTCTCAGGATATATTACATATTAAGAAAAGAAATAGTTCTTACTGTAGGGTCTCAGAAGAAAACAATACCCCAAAATAAGGCCTCAGAAGCAGCTGTCTCTGACCTGCTGCTGCTGTCCTCTCTCTGGCCTTGCATTCTCACCTGAGGCTAGCTGTAGAAACTAAAATCCCTCTTCCCCAAAGCCAGCCATAAAACCTAAACATATTACTCTAACTAGCCCCCACCACCTCCTTTCTATATAAAAATTACCTAACTTACCTTCTTTTATTAAAGGTCATAAGAACCTCATACCAGAGAGGGTCCTATCCCATACCCAGTAGGAAAGAATGTATACTCAGAGAGGACAAGAAGAATCTAGACAGGCCTTGCTGGGTTTTCCAACTCCATCTGTTAACATTAGATCCTACCCTTTCTGTCCAATCTTAATTCCACATAGCTATCTATACTTTGTTAAACCTAAGCACAGAAATGGGCACTTTCTCCTGTATCTTTACTGATCAAATAAATTTATATGCCTTTTCTCCTGTCCATCTCTTGTCAGTGATTTTCACCGAACCTTCAGAGGGAAAACTTTCCCTTGGCCCTTACGTTGCCCTCAGGGAGCTTGCTTGGGATTGTGATTTAGTCCTGACATTATGAAGATTTTGTTTACTGCTGTATCTGTGCCATCTAGAACAATGAGCATAGGAGATGCTCTGTCATTTGAGTGAATAAATCAAGAGAATAAAACTGGCGCAGTTTGATGTATTTTCACAAATTGAACACACCCAACTAATCACCACCCAGATTTAAAAAAAGAAAACTATCAGTGCTTCAGAAGTTCCCTTCATGCTCTGTTTTGTCACTACCAGGGATAGTAACCAGTGGCAGAAATTTGGCTACTTTTGTACTTTATATAAACAGAACCGTCTAGTATCTACATAGTTCCTATCGCCTGTTTATCTTAATATGATGTATTAATAGAATAATGTTTAATGATATGATTAACATGTAATTTTAATGGCTGCATAGTATTCTGTCATATAGCTACACCATAATTTATTTAATGAGTCCTTTATGTGTTTATGTAGCTTGCAGTTTTTCGCTATTAATAGGTGACACTATGATTAATAAAGATCTTCTGAGTGTATCACTGATTATTTCTTTAGAATGAGTTCTTAGAATTGCTGGACAAAGTTACACCATTCTAAATTATTTGACACATTGCCAAATTGCCCTGCAGAAGACTGTACCAAATTACATTCCTTCCCGCAATGAAAAAGAGTAGCCTTTTTTTTTTTTTTTTTTTTTTTTTTTTTTTTGAGAAGGAGTCTAGCTCTGTCACCCAGACTGGAGAGCAGTGGCGGGATCTTGGCTGACTGCAACCTCTGCCTCCCAGGTTCAAGCAAGTCTCCTGACTCAGCCTCCCGAGTAGCTGGGATTACAGGCATGCACCACCACACCTAGCTAATTTTTGTTGTATTTTTAATAGAGATGAGGTTTCACCATATTGGCCAGGCTGGTCTCGAACTTCTGACCTTGTGATCTGCCCTCCTCGGCCTCCCAAAATTGAAGCTGGGATTATAGGCATGAGCCACCGTGCCCGGCGGAGAGTAGCCACTTTGTTGAAATCACTAACAACATTTCCTTGAAGTACCATCATTTAGTTACAATCATTTAAGAAGACATTTGTCAGTTTGAATGTAGGAGAAAACTGGTGTCTCATTGCTCTAATTCAAACTTGATTCTTATTGAAGTTGAACATGTTTTCATAGGCTTGCTATTTGCCTTTTTTCTTTTCTGAATTATCTTTATGTCCTTCTGTATCATGTTTACTTCTTACCACTTTCTTTTTTTCCCTCTGTTTCTAGACACTGGAGTCAACTAGGTACCCTGTTCTTGTAACATAAAAGGTGATAAGAGTTTAGAGCCAGATTGGTAAAGGGAGCTAGAAATTTGAGCAACATTCTTACATAGGTATTTTATTATGCATCTGCTTTGGGTTTTGTACTGTGTAACACAGTACTCAGGAGTCTATTGGACTAATTTACATTAATGGTATGTGGTTAAAAAACCTATTTTTCTGACATTTGACTTCAATATATCTTGAAGTAGTTCTCTAAAAGACCACGATATGCCGTGTTACTTTCCCTCTGCAAGAAAAAGAGAAATGCATGTAAAGTAAAGCAGTTGAACAGAAGCAGCTTAGACATGGATTAGAAGCAGGGGGGATTGAGAGTGGCAGAGAGGTGGAATAAGATCAAAAAGAGGTTTCCATCCATAATCCATGGGATTTTCACATGTCACATGGTTATCTTTGTATTTCTTTATTATTTTTAGAAAAATCTTGTTTGACAATTATATGGAGAAGTCAGGTAAAAACCAGTTAGGATGCCCTCGTACTGGTCCAGGTGAAAAAACAGACCGAACTGAGCAGCAGCTAGAATTAATGACAAGAAAGGGATAGATTTGAGAAATTTTCATGAAGATTTTGAGACATCAAGAAAAGATTAAATTATGTTCTATGTAATCTATTTCTAAAAGATTTGCTTTGATTAGCCATCAAAAATAAGGTAGTAAATTATTGGAATTAAAAGTGATGTTTCAAATATTTTGAAAGTTTGCTTTTGTGCAGCATCCTTATTTTCTGATGATGTCAGATAAATGAGGCATTTAGATTAAATGTGATTTTTGCCCTACAGCTTTTAATCTTTTGAGATGAGACTTTGAAACAAATGAAATAGAATATCCAAAATTTTTTTTGTATCAGTTTTCTCTAATTAAGAAGTTGAAGCACAGGGATTTAAATAATTTCTTACTAACGTAATGCAAAATCTTGGCTGTGGAATCAATGTCAGAACTGGCTGGTCACTACCTTTGTTTTGCCTCCTTCCTGACACTAGAATGTACATATTTCTCTGTGAAAAAGGTGGGGAGGCATATTGTCAGTTTTACATAGTCATTTAAATTAGTCTCTGAATTCAGACACTCATTTAGAGTGAGTTCCAGCACTAGGTACAACTTCCATCATATAGTTATGTATCTGAGAAAAAATGTTCTGAGCTATGAGTTAAAAAAAATTGATGTGTTACCCAGCGTATTCAATGATCCGCTTATTGCTAATTCAGTTGAACTGGTATTGTGGATTAAAAGATCAGAATTTAGACTCAGATAAGCTATATTAAGCTGTATAGCTTTAGAATAGAACAGTGATAAAGAATGGTGTTAGATTGCCTGGGATTAAATCTTAGCCCAGCCATTTCCAAGCTGTTTGACTTAAGTTACTGAATTCTTTGGGTGTTTCATTTGTTCAACAAGTACTGGGCCAGGCACGGTGGATCACGCCTGTAATCCCAGCACTTTGGGAGGCCGAGGCGGTGGATCACAAGGTCAAGAGTTCAACACCAGCCTGGCCAAGATGGTGAAACTCCATCTCTACTAAAACTACAAAAATTAGCCAGGCACAGTGACAGGCGCCTATAATCCCAGCTACTCAGGAGGCTGAGGCAGGAGAATCACTTGAACCCGGGCGGCAGAGGTTGCAGTGAGCCGAGATCGCCGCCACTGCACTCCAGACTGGGCCACAGAGTGGGACTCCGTCAAAAAAAAAAAAAAAAAGAAACAAGTACCTACCTCATAGGGTTGTGAACATTAAATGATACTCTATATGTAGTGCTTTTCACAGATTAACTGTTCAATAAATATGGCCTATTAATAAGCTTAATCCATGAAAATTTGAATTTATTTAAAAATAAATTGTCTTTATAAAAGAATTCGTTTTAGTACATGACTCATTGTAGAGTGAAATAATAAATACCTCTATTCCATTTGGAATGGAACTTTTTTTTTTTTTTCAGGTGGAGTCTCACTCTTGTTGCCCAGGCTGGAGTGCAATGGCGCGGTCTCGGCTCACCCCAACCTCCACCTCCCGGGTTCAAGAGATTCTCCTGCCTCAGCCTCCCAAGTAGCTGGGATAACAGGCAAGCACCACCACACCCGGCTAATTTTGTATTTTTAGTAGAGACAGGGTTTCTCCATGTTGGTCAGGCTGGTCTTGAACTCCCGACCTCAGGTGATCCGCCCACCTCGGCCTTCCAAAGTGCTGGGATTACAGGCATGAGCCACCGTGCCTGGCCCAGAATGAAACATTTTAAGAAATATATCTATTGTGGAAAATAAGGTATCTACACAAAAATTTCTGTATTATATCCTTAAAACTATCCTAGTAGAAAGATCTGTTTTTATTATTTTAATTGGGCCTTTGAAGAAAATATCAACCTGGTTTTGTTGTCTTTTAGACTGAATACCTAGATCCCATGGTATATAAAAACATTGCATTTAATATAGTAAAGAGTCTGGGCTTCAATAATTTATTTTTGGAAACGTTTTGGATCAGTTCCCACCACTGGAGAAAGAGATGAAATGGATACCTCATCAGAGCTATATATAAGCTTGTAGCTCTCAAGCCTTAAAACTGGTGATGAAAAACAAGGACAAAGTATATCTTTCTCTTCTGTCTTCTAAGGACAAGTTTTACATGGAAATGTAACCCTGCCCATTAGACCTTCTGACAGTAAAAAATGAGCCGTTCAGAATGACTTACTTTATTATTATTTTTTTTTTTTTTTACTAAAAGTGTTGCTTTCCCGTCATTCTTCAGAATATTTTGTAGGTAGTGAAAGGTTTACTGGCTATAGAATTCATTGATATAAATAAGGGTTGCATTACTTTCCGGTATGGAAGTCCTTCAGCGTCATCCGCCAAACTTAATAACTAACATTAATGTAGGACCTCACTTTTCAAAGCACATTTTTTTTAGTTGCCATTGAATGCCTCATATATGCCTAATACCAAACCAAGAGCTTTATACATGTTATCTCATTTAATTTTTACAACAGCTTTATGAGAAGTATTATTATACCCATTTTGTAGTTGAGGAAACTGAGGCTCAAGAAGCTAAATAACTTATAGTTAATATATGATAGAGCCTGGATTCTAACTGTGGCCTAATTGACTCTTAATGCCTACTATTTTTTTATGCTACGTTGCCTTTTGAAACAGATTCTTACCACATCTTGTTTGTTTTGAAGAATTAGTATACTTACGTGAGCATGAATACATACATATATACGTGAAAGACAAAAATACTCTAAACCAAAATGTTATTAGTGGTTGTCTCTGGATAGTGGGTTCATATGTGATTTAAAAATTCTTTTCTTTGTGTTTATCTGAATTTCCTACAAACATAAGCTTATTTTGTAATAAACTTATGATACATATTGAACTTCATAGTAATTGATACATGACTTATTTCTCATGTATTGTTCTTATTTCTAGATCAGTTGGCCTTATTTCCTCAGTGGAAATCTACTCACTATGATGTGGTAGTTGGCGTGTTGTCAGCTCGCAATAACCATGAACTTCGAAACGTGATAAGAAGCACCTGGATGAGACATTTGCTACAGCATCCCACATTAAGTCAACGGTAGGTTTTCTGAGTTGTTGCCTTGCCTGGTTTATTGAAATAAGAGTTCTGAAAAACCTAGCCAGGCGTGGTGGTGTGTGCCCGTCGTCCCAGCTACCGGGGAGGCTGAGGTGGAAGGATTGCTTGAGCTTGGAAAATTGAGGCTGCAGTGAGCCATGATTGCACCACTGCATTCTAGCCTGCATGATGGGAATGAGTCCCTGCCTAATTTAAAAAAAAAAAAAGTTCTGAAAAACCTTACTTTGAATAGAAATGTTCATTCAGATATGTGGGCTCTTCCTGGGAGAAATGGCTGTTTCATTTGCTTTTCTTCCATATAGTTTGGGCCAAAAAGTAAATTTAACCAACATTTTAAGCCAAATGATAATTGGAAGAGAGTATATTCACTGGTTAACGTGTAGTATTTAGATACCCAGTGTGGTTTGTTTGTTTTTTGCTTTGATTTAGAATAGCAATTCTTAAAAGGTTCTGTTCTAGAGCAGTTCTCTCCTTAGACACATGTGCATGTCTAAATATACTTTTCACTAACTTCACAGAGATAAATTTAATTTTTTTCAGTTTTGTAGTATTTTTTAGTTGTGTAATCTGCAGTATGTGTAATATGCCATGCTCTTTTTCCTGACTACCCTTCTGGAACTGAGCTTTGGTAATCCATTTCATGCTGACATTAGATAGCTCTCAGTTATTAGTTAGGGGCCCAAAGCCTTAGTCTGTTCTCAATGAGATCAACCTCTGAAGATTGTGTAGTGAGGGACTAGGGGAAGAAACGCATAGAAGTTGACTTCTATGTATGTGAAGACTCAGGTGATAAGCAGAGAAGGCCCTTTCAGGATTGAATTGCACTGGCACATTTGTGACTGAGTAGCTATACAAGCAAATTGCAGTTGTGAATTTTTTTTTTTTTTGAGATGGAGTTTTGCTGTCGCTCAAGCTAAAGTGCAGTGGCACGATCTTGGCTCACTGCAACCTCCAATTCCTGGGTTCAAGCGATTCTCCTGCCTCAGCCTCCCAAGTAGCTGGGATTACAGGCACTTGCCACCATGCCCGGCTAATTTTTGTATTTTTAGTAAGGACAGGGTTTCACCATGTTGGCCAGGCTGGTCTCGAACTCCTGACCTCAGGTGATCTGCTTGCCTCGGCCTCCCAAAGTGCTGGGATTACAAGCGTGAGCCACCAAGCCCGGCCTAGTTGTGAATTTTCTTGTCACTAGTAGTGCTTACTCATAGTAGCTTTCATTCCTTTTCAAGACAGGTTTCTTTAGTTCATGGTTGCAATGATAATAGAGCCTATTACACAGCAAATGAAAGACCTCAGAATCATCACTACTATCAGAACCACCTCCAAAAGCTGTACTTCCTGTAGTATTTCCCTGTTAGAAAATAATGACTCCTCCACCAGTTGCTCAGACCAAAACCCTTGGTGTTACCCTGATTTTTCCTTTCACCTGCCACATCCAATCCATCAGCATACCTTCCAGATGCTGCTTAGACCATACCCAGAATCTGACTTCTCACCACCTTTACCACTGCCATCTGATCTAGGCTGCCATTATGTCTCACCTGGATTATTGCAGAAGTCCCCTTCTCTGAACTTACTGCTTCTACCTTTGACCCCCTACATTTTATTTTCCATACAGCAGCCAGAGTGATCCTTTTAAAATTAGTCAAATTATGTCAATTCTCTATTCATACCCCTCCATTGACCTCCTTTCTTGCTCAGAGTGAAACTCCAAGTCTTTGTTGTGGTATTTGACCTTATCTACATCTACTTCCCCTACACTGGCTGCCTTACTGTACTTTCATACACTAAAAGTGCCCCTACCTCAGGGCCTTTGCATTTCCTACGTCCTCTCTCACTAATGTCCTCAGGACTCACTTCCTTCAGGTCTCTGATTAGATGTCACTCTAGCAGACAGCCCCATAGTAAATAGCAGCCCACCCCTATCTTGTTTGTGTCTTCCCTTAGTTGGCTTTAATTTTTTTTTGGTAACACTTATCACCAGCTGGCATCTGTATTGTATTTAGTTGTAAAATTGTTTGTCTTTCTCCACTTGAATGTAGGTTTCATGAGCATTGGGGCTTCAGGTTTTTTCACTGGTGTATTCCCAATACCTAAAACCTAGCTTGGTGCAGACTAAGGCACTCAACAACTATTGAATGAATGACTCAGAACCAAATGTAATGAATATAGTTTATATTCAGACATTTCACCACTAATTTATTTGCCATCATAACAGTCTTGCTTTAAATTTAGCGTGCTTGATTTGTGTTATGAGAATGATCAGCTATCTGTATAAAAATAGATATTAGGCAGAAACACCTTCCTGGGACACAGTAATTTTGTGGATCTAGTAAGAGTACCTAGTAAGATGGCTAAAAAACCAAATTTGGTACATACTTGCAATAATTTAGTTAGCACATTTATTCATTTCTGTTTATACTTTTATTCCAAATGCTAGTTATCTATGAAAGGTATTCTGCCTTAATTGGTAATTAGTAACAGAAACTGCATTTCTGTGGTTATGGCATATTTTCCATTCTTGCATTTCACCAAAGGACCCAAACTCAACACTAAGTACTTCTGTAAGCAAATAATGTAGTATGTGTGGTAGAATACAGAGATAAATAGAGTGTTAGGAGGGGCTTGACATTTAGTAGAAGGAAATAGGTGTAATCGTATAATAAAATGTTGTATGTGCTGTGATATAAATAGATATAAAATAGCCCGGGGTGTTTGAGAAACTCCTAACACTTCTATATAACTTGAGCACAGGGCTTGTGGTGGTGGGGGAAGGGTTGTGGCACAGTGTGAGAGAAACAGCCAGGAGAGGTAGGAGAGTAGAGAGGTGTATATAAAGAAAAGAGGGGGGAAGCATATGACTGTGAGAGGCAGACAGTGAGCAGATCACATGTAACAGGCATGTGGAGGGTTGAGTGGAAGGACGAGACCTGTTGTGGCAAGGACTGCTGAGGGGCTGATCTACAGAGATCAGAGGGGTGACCTTGTGAGAGAATAAGGTCATTGAATGTAGAAAATGGAGGAGGAGGCTAGGAAGATTGCTAGTGTTCTGACTTGGAGAATAGTGGAATCATCAATCAAAACAAAAATACTAAAAGAGAAGAGCAGGTTTCATGGGAAAGAAGCTCAGTTGTGTATATGTTGACCTTGAGGTTCCTACAGGCAGTAGTGTACTGATAAAGGTTTACTAACTGGCTCTCTGGGAAAAATGATGCTTATATGTACATACATGTTTATTATAAATTTTATTGACATAAAGTATATACAGCCTGTAATTGACAGATAATAACCTATACAATACTGTTTATCGTAAATTCCATGAAACCAGTTGATTCTCATAGAACGCTTTTGTTGTTTGTCAGACTCTCCTATCTATGACCAACTTATGGTTGCAGTTAACAAAAGAGTGTAGTTGTGACAAAAGTCTTTCTTTTAAGTTAAACAGTGAGGTGAGGACTAAAGTGACAACTAAGATATGTCAGCTTTACACTTAATAAAGTCAGTGACTTCTATGCTGTATCAGGTAATAGTTTTGGAACACTGGAATCGTATCTTCCTTGACTTTTTTTTTTTTTTTTAACTATTCACTCTGTAGTGGCTATAGATAGACACATCACATTAAGCTTAATTTGCATTATCAACATTTTCTCTATACTTTCTTAAGTCTAGACAGTCAACAAAACAATAAACCAAACCCTTATTTGTATTATTTGCCAGTTTCTAGGGTGTGAATATTTCCACTATGGCCAATTCAAGTGACTAATGTGACATCACTGAACACAGAGTGGGGGAAAGATAAGCAGTAGCATGCCATATATACTATTTCCACCATGTAGATGTAATAAATATAAATGATCTCAAGAACATAATAGTAAAATGTAGTAAAACATTAAGTGATTAATTTGAGTATTTCCTTTGATTTTAATATATATTATAAGATTATATAATTTAATTTTAAATAAAGGCTATGTTTAATAACCGTCTCACAAAATTTCTGAAAAGTTGACAGTTGGCTCCCAGAAGCCAGTAGTAGCAGGCTTTAGCACACAGCTGTCTGTGGGTTATCTGGGTGAAGATGTCCAGTGAATTTACAGGTCCTTTACATGGGTCTAAACTAGAGTTACTAATTCAGGTCCGGACACAGTGGCTCACACCTGTAATCCCAGCACTTTGGGAGGCCAAGGCAGGCAGATCACTTGACGCCAAGAGTTCGAGACCAGCCTGGCCAACATGGTGAAATCCCGTCTCTACTAAAAATACAAAAATTAGCCAGGCGTGGTGGCACACGCCTGTAATCCCAGCCACTTAGGAGGCTGAGGCAGGAGAATCA
This sequence comes from Homo sapiens, assembly GCF_000001405.40. NCBI lineage: Eukaryota > Metazoa > Chordata > Mammalia > Primates > Hominidae > Homo > Homo sapiens. Next base: position 133,924 of record NW_014040927.1, on the reverse strand, counting down.
CTTGAACCTGAAAGGTGGAGACTGCAAAGAGCCAAGATTACACTGTTGTATTCCAGCCTGGGTGACAGAGCGAGACTCTGTCTCAAAAAAAAAGAAAACAACTAGAGTTACTAATTCAGGAATCATTCCCATGCTATTTGAAGCCATGAGAATAAATAATATTGTTTAGGGAGAGGAAGTAAAAAAAATGAGTAGATTGAGAAAAGACCCAAAGGCAGAGCCCTAGACTAATACCACTCTCAGTGGACAAGCTGGGGAACAAGAGGCAGTGAAGATGACTGAGCAGGCCACAGAAGGAAGGGAAGAGAGCATTTTAGGGAGCTGGGCAGTATTAAGCCGTAGAGAAACCAGGAAGGTAAGAGTTCAAGAGTGTCTATTGATTTAGCAGCAGCTCATTGGTTACATTAGTGGAATCTCAGTGGAGGTGGTGATATTAAAGCTAAAACTCTTGTTTTATAAAATGAGTGGGAAGTAAGAAACAGGCTGCAGTTTTAATTTCTTTGTAGGACCTCAGTGTAAAGTGTGGTGGCAAGGAAGGATGGAAGGTGAAGAGAATAATTAGAGTCAGGACTTTATCATGTTTGTAATGTGGAGGGAAGGAGTCACTAGTTACAGGGGTAACCAGTGAAGCAAGGTCTAGGAGAGAAGGGGATTTCCTCTTGGATGGAAAGACCTAATCTTGAGCAAAAGGAACACTTTCTGAAATAGAAGAAGGCAGCAAAGGAAAATTTTAGATATAGATATGTTTTTAGGTATGGGCATGAGAACTGACTTTACTATAGTTTGCTTTTAAATGATATGAACATTTGCTTGTAGCGAGGCCAGACATATTCATACTTGCTTTAATATAGCATTGCAATAAGGACTCATGCATAAGTAACTTGGTAGTTAGCAACTTTCAGTTTACTTGTTCCCCCATTTTGTCTGACTAGAAGAATAAAGGTAGAGAATTAATCCTCATAAACACTTGTGTCTCAAAGTAAAAGCTCTGAAATGGGCATGAGGAAACGTGCATGTGCGAGGTGAAGATCAGTAACTGATGTTAATGCCAACACATCTCTCAGTGTGCTTGTGAAGTTCATAATAGGTGCTCATGGCTGTGAAGTGCCTGTGGAAGACAGGGAGGATCCTTATTCCTGTAAACTACTCAACATCACAAATCCAGGTAAGTCATCTTTTCCCTTGACTGCCATACACAAGCTTGATGTTGAGTAAAAGTTGCTAAGCTTAATAGTATGGAGTCTGTTTTTATTTTTTATTATTTTATTTTATTATGTGTTTTAGAGACAGGGTCTTGCTCTGTCGCCTAGGCTGGCGTGCAGTGGCATAGTCATGGCTCACTATAACCTCAAACTCCGGGGCTCAAGCGATCCTCCTACCTCACCACCCTGCTAGGACTACAGGCACATGCCACGAAAACTGGCTAATTTTTTAAATTTTTTGTAGAGTTGAGGTCTCGCTGTCTTGTCTGGGCTGATCTTGAATTCTTACCCTCAAGGGATCCACCAGCCTCAGCATCCCAAAGCACTGGGATTGCAGGCATGAGCCACCATGCCCTGGAGTCTGTTTTTAATAGACTAAAATGTCTTTCATCCAAATTTATGTCTCATCTTTTTTTTTTTTTTTTTTTTTTTTTTTTTGGAGATGGAGTCTTGCTCTGTTGTCCAGGCTGGAGTGCAGTGGTGCTATCTCAGCTCACTGGCTCACTGCAACCTCCGCCTCCTAGGTTCAAGAAATTCTCCTGCCTCAGCCTCTCTTAAGTAGATGGGATTACAGGCTACCACCACTGCGCCTGGCTAATTTGTGTATTTTTAGTAGAGATGGGGTTTCACTGTGTTGGTCAGGCTGGCCTCGAACTCCTGACCTTGTGATCCACCTGCCTCAGCCTCCCAAAGTGCTGAGATTACAGGCATGAGCCACCATACCCAGCCTATTTCATCATTTTTGACAGATTGCCTTGGGGTACCTGTAGAGATTCTTTACAGAATTGGAACTTTAGGATCCAGGAGACTTTATTTTTCAGTGTGATTCATACGCGTTTGGAAGTTCCTTATGCTTAGATAAATCCTGAATTACCAAATTTTGAACTTTTGGAAAACTGCTGATTTTACCAGTTAATTTATAATAATCTTGAAGAAACAAATATTATGAATCAACTTTCTCTTAGAATTATTGTCTAATTTATTTCTGTAAAAGAAAAAATAGTAAAAAATGTAAGACACAAGTAACATTATTTATGCCTTAAAATTAAAAGTTTGTAAAAATTCTGGTGAGGATAAAGAAAGCTGCTCCAGCACTTTGGGACACCACGGTGGGAGGAGGAGCACAAAACCAGCCTGGGCAACATAGTGAGCTCCCATGTCTGAAAAAAAAAACATTAGCCAAGTATTGTGGCTCATGCCTGTAGTTCCAGCTGCTTGGGAGGCTGAGGTAGGAGGACTGCTTGGGTCCAGCAGTTCGAGGCTGCAGTAAGCTATGATCTGCTTCCGCTACTGCACTCCAGCCTGGGTGACAGAGCGAGACCCTGTCTCAAAAACAAAGACAACGAAAGAAAGCTGATCCTAACTAGGTTCTCTGTGTCACCAGGGAACCAATTTTAGGAAGTTGATAAGTTTTTAACTGTCTGTGTTTATTAGCAATTCCCATTATGTTCAGCTGTGTTTCTAAGGGAGGTTATACTTCCAAGTCTTAAATATGCTGATTAGGACTTCTGGTATTTTAAGGTTTGTTAAAACTGTATAATTAAGTAACACCTCACTTTTATAAGCAGTCTCCATGGCTCTCAATCCAAGCTTTGCCATTTTCTAGCTGTGTGACCTCCTCTGCCTCAGTTTTATCATCTGTAAACTTGGGATAAAAGAATCTCCCTCATGGGGATTGACATAAGGATGAAATAAGTTGATACATATGATGTATTTAGAATAATAGTTCCTAGAAGGTGGAAGGTACTGAACATTATTTTAAAGAGCCTGCTATTTTATAAAGCTGGGTTTCAAACAGCTTTTTAAATAAATTGGACAATATATTCAGGTCTGTATTACAAAATAGAGGTTTCTTACTTAGGATGTCTGTGAATTCAGTTAACATTGTAAGCAAATTTTATGTATGAATTGTGTGCTGGGGAGAAAGTCCTTTGGCTTTCACTGGAGTCTTGTCTTTTTTTTTTTTTTGGAGACAGAGTTTCGCTCTTGTCACCCAGACTGGAGTGCAATGGCGCGATCTCGGCTCACTGCAACCTCCACCTCCCAGGTTCAAGCGATTCTCCTGCCTTAGTCTCCCGAGTAGCTAGAATTACAGGTGCCCGCCACCACGCCTGACTTATTTTTAGTAGAGATGGGGTTTCACCACATTGGCCAGGCTAGTCTCAAACTCCTGACCTCACGTGATCCACCCCCCTCAGCCTCCCAAAGTGCTGGGATTATAGGCGTGAGCCACCACGCCTGGCCTCACTGGAGTCTTAAAGGGATCATAAACCCCATAGAATGTTATGTCACTGATGTGGTATCCACTGATGTATCCTCCAACAAATTACAATTGAAAACCAAACCAAAACAAAAAGAAGCCCTTCACTTTTAAATTAACCATATTTTTATTATCTTAAGTGCTGTTATTTATTAAAAGTAAAGAAGTAGAACTTTATGTTAAAAGAACATTTTCATATATGTAATACCTAGGTTATGAATTTTTAAATGCGTATATAACTAAGTTAATATTGAACCTAATCTTATCTTTTCGATGATCCAAAGGCAGTTATGGTTATTTCAGTACCTGAAGGTCATGGTAAGCATTAATCATCGTGATACTGTGGCTGTGGTAGAAGGTTTAATAGCACTGTAATGCAACGGGATTTCCTGTGTCCACGTAACTTGAAGCTCAAGGCACAATTCTTTTAGATAAGAAAATATCTAAAAATGCTATATTATAATTGACTTATTGCTTTTAATAAAGAGGTTTCTACTATGGATATCTGTTATTTACTGAATATCTTAAAGAGAAAAAATTGTATTGTTGTCCATTATGTTGTAGTCTAGACTCTCCAGTTAGTGCTTGCCCAGCCCATGACAAAAAACTGTATTCTCCCTTTTTTCCCTCCTGTTCATGTCTATAATTAGGTAGGAGTCATCACTTCCCTTTAATCCCATTTTACTGAATATCTACTGAGTGTAAAGAGCTTCTAGGAAGTCTGACGTGGGCAACCAAATGACCTAGAGTATAGGAAGAAAATGTAATTTCTTTTTTTTTGAGACAGGGTCTTGCTCTGTTGCCCAGGCTGCACTGCAGTGGCACAATCTCAGGTCACTGCAGCCTCTTCCTCCCAGGCTCAAGCAATTCTCGTGCCTCAGCCTCCCAAGTAGGTGGGATTACAGGTGTGTGCCACCACGCCCAGCTAATTTTTGTATCGTAGAGACAGAGTTTCACCATGTTGCCCAGGCTTAGAATTTCTATTTATCTGAAAATAAGAAAATACAATCTTTATTAATACTGAATATATAGACTCACCACAATATATGCATATATTTTGTAAGTAAATAGGTGTGTGTACAAATATTTTTAACTGATGGTGTTGTGTAGTCAGCAAAATTTGAAAACCACAGCTCTAAAAGATACAAAGAACTTTGATATAATCTTTTAAAATAGGGTTTTATATTATTAAAGTAGCACTGATATTCCCTGCCTATGAACTGCTTTATTTAATGTATTCTGATTCATTTATGGTAATTAGAAAATTTATTTGAAGGCTGGGCACAGTGGCTCATGCCTGTAATCCCAGCACTTTGGGAGGCTGAGGCGGGAGGATTGCAGTTCAAGACCAGCCTGGGTAACATGATGAGACCCCCATCTCTACAAAAAATTAGCAAGGCCTGGTGGTGTGTGCCTGCGGTCCCAGCTACTCAGGAGGCTGAGGCAGGAGGATCCCTTGAGCAAAGGAGGTTGAGACTGCAATAAGCCATGTTCATGCCACTGCACTGCAGCCTGGGTGACTGGGTGACTGTCTCAAAAAAAGAAATAAAAGAAAAATTATTTGAACTGTTTTGGCACTGATTAGACAGCTGTGAGGGAGTGGAAAGGGGACTGACTTTGGAATCACTAAATGGGACTTGATTCCTGGATCTGCCACTTTCTATGACCTTAGGTGAATTGCTTAATTTTGGGCCTCAGTTTCTTAATATGTAAACTGGAGATAATGCCACAACCACAAGGGTAGTAGTGAAGATATAAATGTGATGGGAAATGGTACATAGAAGATGGTTCAAAACTGTGTTTGATATGCTTATCTTTTATCAGTGCTGTACAGCAAGAGTTTTTCAGTGTTATTTGAAGTGACTTCAGTTGCTTATTTATACCGTAATAATTGCCTGATGTATCACAAGTATTTTAAATTGCCTAACAAGAAGTAGGATTTTTGGAATTTGCACAGTAAGACCAAATTTACTGATTATTTATGACTACAGTCAGTACTGTTTTTCTTATTTCTATTTATCCAACCCTTCCAAATAGATGCCTTCCAGTTGACTTAAATTTAATATCTCCTGTGGCGTTTATACATATATATGCACACATTTATGCAAAAAGCTATTAAAGCAGTTCTGATAATTAACTTACTTAGATGTGGCTGAAAACTTTATTCTTAAATTTCAAAAATGTTTATATAGAAGCAGCCATTTTTCTCAAGCATTTTTTAAAAATTCCTGCCATTTGTGAATTATATAGCAAATGATTACCTAGGTTTTGGCATTAAGCCCACTTCACTACTTCTTACTAGTAAAACAAAGGATTACATTTGTTCAGTTATATAAACCTGTTCTCATTACTTAGTTTTGAATCAGGAAATTGAAGCGTTCAGTCTGTCCGAAGACACTTCATCGGGGCTGCCTGAGGATCGAGTTGTCAGCGTGAGTTTCCGAGTTCTCTACCCCATCGTTATTACCAGTCTTGGAGTGTTCTACGATGCCAATGATGTGGGTTTCCAGAGGAACATCACTGTCAAACTTTATCAGGCAGAACAAGAGGTATGCACTGCTCTGTACAGGTTTTTTCTCTTTTTTCTTTTTCAAAAACATCAACTTTTCCTTGTGACATACAGTAAGTAGATTGGAAGACTATATAATTCTCTCTGGTTGAGAGACTTTCACCTTTCTTCCCCTATTGACTAAATACACTGTAGTGTGATATAAGACTGGTTTGGGGATAGATTATCTGTGAATAAATGTGCTATATCTAGAAGAGAAGGAGTTGACTAGATTAGAAATCTCCAACCTAAAATTCCCTAAAACCTAGGGAATTTCAAAAGTTGGTAATGGATATAAAAAAAGTTTAGGATTCTTAGGATAAGTGAGTATTATTGCCTCTTACTTCCAACTGTAGAAGTCTGTAATACAAGGCTAATAACTGCTTCAAATCTTTTTTGTAATAAGGATATAGAGGGAATAAAAGTTATTCTTTTACAGAAAACAGAAAACCAGTGAGGTTTCTCTATTCCCGATATGTAGGGAAATCTGATTTGTTCACAGAGTGCATGTGAAGTAGCAGCATGGAAATGTATTTGAAGGATCTGTTTTTTAGTTTTAAACATGAAGAAAACTTGAAGGAATTATTCAGTAAACCCTATAGCCACTAACTACATTCTACAACAATTAACGTTTTCCTGTATTTGGTTTATTACTCCTAAGTAGCTGGGATTCTAGGTGCATGCCACCACACCTGGCTAATTTTTGTATTTTTAGTAAAGATGGGATTTTGCCATGTGGGCTAGGCTGGTGTCAAACTCCTGACCTCAAGTGATCTGCCCTTCTCGGCCTCCCAGAGTGCTGCCTCAGCCTCCCAAGTAGCCTCCCAAAGTGCTGGGATTACAGGCGTGAGGCACCGCACCAGGCCTGGTGTGCTTTTTCTTTGTCTGTTTTATTCAGGGCGTGCTACATGTTTCTTCAATCTGTAAATGTATGTATTTTACCAAATTTGGGGGATTTTCAACTATTAATGTCTTCAGAACCTTTTCTGACTTCGCTCGCTCTCTCTATTCCTCCTGGGATTCCAGTTACATGTATGTTAGATCTTTTGGTATTGTCCTGCAGATCACAAGACTGTTCATTTTTTTCAGTGTTTTTTCTCTTTTCTAATGTAGATAACTTCTGTTCATCTGTATTCAAGTTTAGTGACTCTTCTGTCATCTCAAATCTGAAGTTAAGCCTATCCAATGAATTTTTTATTTTAGATTTATTTTAAATATTATACTTTTTAGTGCTTCAGTTTCCATTTAGTTCTTTTTTACTGTTTCTATTTCTCTAAAATTTCCTATGTGTTCATTGTTTGAGAATATTTTTCTCTACAGCTTTGACCATAGTTATAACAGCAGCTTTAAAATCTGTGTACGCTTATTCTGAGTCATCTCAGCGTCTGTCTTTATTGATTATTATCTTTCCTCTAAAATATGGGTAACATTTTTCTGTTTTATGTCTAGTATTTTGGGGGGTTTTTTGGTTTGGGTTTCGGTTTTTTTGTTGTTGTTTGACAGGGTCTCGCTCTTTTACCTGAGCTGGAGTGCAGTGGCACAGTCGTGGTTCACTGCAGCCTTAAACTCCTGGGCTCAAGCTATCCGCCCATCTCAGCCTCTTGAGTAGCTGGGACTACATGCTACTCATGCATTGTATCCTAGATATTGTAAATAATTCATTGTAGGAACTCTGGATCCTATTATATTCCTCAGAGTATTGATTTTTTTTTTTTGTTTTAGCAGGCAGCTAAATTGGCTGGACACAGACTAAACATTGTCTCACTTGCAGTGAGAAACAGCTAAAATCTCTATTCAGTTTCTCTGGCCTTGGATGGGCTACTTGGGTTCTGCCTTGTATGTGTATTTCATGAGTCAGCCACAGATTTGGGTAGAGTTTATATGAAGAATTTGTGGTTCTCTCTCTCTGTGATCCTTTCCTTTCTGGGAGGTTCCCCCTAATGCCTTTTATTAATTGATGTGTTTGCCCCAACTCTGTCCTCTTAATTTTCAAGCAGAAAGACTACAGATTTTCATTCAAATTTCTAGTTACCCTAGAGTTGTATCCTCAGACAAAGAGTCAAGAAGTGGGGTAGGGAGGAGATGCATATTTGGAGCCTTTTCCTTCTTCCAAGTACTGATTCTTCTCTAGTTTCTGCCTGTTTGTTTGAATTCCAGTGCCTTCAAATCATTGTTTTTTATGTTTCATCCAGAGTTCATAGTTACTATCTATAGGAGAATTGGTCTGATATTACTGGCAGCAGAACTCTGTTCAGTTTTTTAAAATGTGTTTGTATTATTAATGTTGATTATTAGCAATGAATATAATGTTAGAGACTCATCAATAAATACACAAATAAATTTGAGATTAAATTTCTTTTTTGGAATTTGCCCTGTTCTTCCTCTAAATAATCTGTCTCGTTTGTTGATGTGTTTATAGACATAAATATAAGACAGAGGGAAGAGTAGGATTTCTACTGATGATGCCAGCTATAATGATTAGTGAGAAGAGCTTTGTATACTCAACTATAGGAGTCCATATATGATTGTAGTTAACAGTTTCATTGATACTGAAGATCAAATAGGTAATTGAAATAGCAGTACTCTGAGTATCACTGTTATCTAGAAATTAGAATTAATCTTGAATTTTTTTGATACACTTGTTTATCTTAGTATATATAGTTTAAAAAAAAAACTATCAGCCAGGCGCAATGGCTCACGCCTGTAATCCCAGCATTTTGGGAGGGCAAGGCAGATGGATTGCTTCAGCCCAGGAGTTAGAGACCAGCCTAGGCAATACAGTGAGACCCCATCTCTACAAAAAATTAAGAAAATAGGCAGGCATGGTAGCATTTGCTTACAGTCCCAGCTACTTGGTAGGTTGAGGTGGGAGGATCACTTGAGCCCAGGAGGTCGAGGCTGCATTACAGTGAGCCGTGATTGCACCACTCACTCCAGCCTAGGTGACAGAGTGAGACTGTCTCAAAAAACAAAACTATTTATAGTGTGCGAGTTATCAATCAAGTAGTTTGGTTCAGACATACAATATTTTGATCATGTCGATATAACTTCTAGTTGCCATATTTTTAACCAGGGAGGAGTTAATCTTTGTCCTCAAGGAAGGACTAGTCTAAGATGGATGCTAATGGGTTCATGGGTAGTCACGATGCAAAAACTATTCTTATACTGCATTGCTAAGAACTGGTGTTCATGAAAGAAATAGACATAATCCATTGAAATGTGCTTAATTTTGAACCCCTGCATGGTTTTAAGAGCTTAACAGAAGTTTCCCCTATGGTTAAGTTGGTATATAAGAATAGGCATGAGAATGAGGAAATGTTGCCTGGAAGAAATGGGAGAACCCAAGAAAACGATAGACATAGTGAAAATCAGTCCGGTTTTTTTTTTTTTTTTTTTTTTTTTTTTTTTTTTTTTTTTGAGACAGAGTCTGGCTCTGCGGTCCAGGCTGGAGTGCAGTGGTGCAGTCTTGGCTCACTGCAGCCTCCACCTCCTGGGTTCAAGCGATTCTCCTGCTTCAGCCTCCTAAGTAGCTGGGACTACAGGTGCCTGCCACCACACCCAGCTAATTTTTGTATTTTTAGTAGAAATTTGGAGTTTCACATGTTGGCCAGGCTGGTCTGGAACTCCTGACCTCAAGTGATCTGCCTGCCTCAGCCTCCCAAAGTGGTGGGATTACAAGCGTGAGCCACTGCACCTGGCTCCAGTCCTCTTTTATATTCCCTTTTTTGTTTTGTTTATATTTTCTTCTGAAGATTCTTTTTGAACGGAGTTTCCTGAGTGCTTTTGTTCCCAGTAAAAATCTGTGTCTTTCAGTTTAGTTTTAACCCTTTGGGGGAGTGTTGACACTATAATGTGTTGGCTTAATTTAACAACACTGCTCACTTCCCTGAATATTTTTTCTTTCAAGGTGGGTTTTTTTTTTAAGGTTATGTGGATTATGTTTAGCATTTGAGAATTTCGTGACAACTTTGATTACCTTAAATATCGTTATTTAATAACCATGACTGCACTAGAAAACCCAGTGATGCCAAAACCACAGTAGAACCATGTTAGTGACCGTGGTTAGGGCCATTGTGGATTTAGCTGACCAAGAAGTAAGGTGTTTGAAAACTTTTTGCATATGCAATGTATAACATGAAGTATTTTTTCTTGTCTTTTTCTCCCAATTTGTAGGAGGCCCTCTTCATTGCTCGCTTCAGTCCTCCAAGCTGTGGTGTGCAGGTGAACAAGCTGTGGTACAAGCCCGTGGAACAATTCATCTTACCAGAGGTACAGGATGGCAGGAAAAGACTGTAGTACCAATGCAGTCCTTCATAGGAGTGGGCGTGTGCTTTCAGGGGCAGGCACTTGATATTTTCTTGTACCAGGGCAGCACTCCAGAGTGATAGATGAAGGTACCAACTGTGGATGGGCTAAAACATAGCACTCTGTATTCAAACCTCCTGAGGACTTCATGAGGCCTCAGAGGTTCCAAAACCACTTTTTGAAAAACATTGCATGTTTCCGTAGTTTATTTAGTGGAGTAGAGAACTACACAATTGTTTTAATGACAAAGGATGATGTTGGGTGTGGATTGATGGAAAGACCAGACAGAGATACCATTTGGGTAAAAATTAAATAATTTGCTTATCTAAAGAATGAAAAGAAAAAAAAGTCAGTGCAGACAGGTTAATGATAGAGATGGGCCATGTTTCCAAGTTAAATAAAATTTCTCCAAAGGGTGAACAGTTGTGGATGATAGCCTGAAAATGTACCTGTCACCTTCTGGGTCCCTCTAGGTCCAGTCATAACTAGATATGCACTAAAGAATGCCTCGCCTGCCAGGTGCCCTCATTAGTCCTGGAGTTAAGCCACACAGTATGGTCGCAGAGTGTGACAGAATCAGGATCAGACATAACAAATTATTCATTCATCAGCTTCAGCCTTTCTAGGCTGTTTTAGTCTAGGCCGAGTACATTCCTGAACTCAGTGCTCTGGAACCACAATCGGGGTCAGTTTCCTAGACATCTCTGGGATTCACTTTAGATCACCTATAGAGTTCATCCCGCAGCATCTCAGCTGGGTTAAGGTGTGGAGGCTAGACAACTGACCGGCCCTGGTGACTAACCAAGAAACTTTTTCCTACCCATTCTGTGGTGTGCCATTCACAATGTGTTCAGCAATAGGAACCACACATTTTTGTAACATACTATGGGTCTTTGGAATTGAGTACAAGTAGTTGAAACTATATGTTAATTCTGTCAGTGTCAAAGGGATCTCCTTTTCATTTGTATCTGAACCTCCATTTTAAAAACTTCTGAATACGCTACTCTCAGCATACTGCTTATAGGATAGCCTGCTCCGCAAAAGCAGTCAAAAAATAAATTAAAAAAAACAAAACGACTTTTAAATAAAAGCCAAACTAAAACAGGGGTGGAAAAAAAGGAAAATGCAGATATGCTAAAGGAAAACAAGACTACTAGAATCTCATATTTGGAGATAATCACATTTAACATTTTTGCTTCTATGTGTTATAGTTGCTAGGATTATGCCGTTCATTCTACTTTATAATTTACTTACTTTAACATATCACGAACATCTTTTGATGTGCTCTATTATTTGTAATGGCTATATAGAATTACATTGTATGAAAGTATTGTCATTTAACTCTGTATTTGGGTGTTGATAGAGTTTCAATTTTTCGGTGTTATGGAAAAGACTGTAGTAAATATCACCGCACCTCTGTTTTATGTGTATAACTGGTTATTTTCTTAGGATGAATTGTTGGGTCGAAGGGTATACACATTTTTAAGTCAGATGATTCCTTCCTGGAGGGGAGTTTAGCAATTTGTATCAGTGTGAACAATCATTAGCAATATATGAGAGTGCCTGTTTTCCTACATCCTTTTATTAATTTCACATATGAACTTTTTTCCTTTTTAAGTGCAGTATGTACCATCAAAGTTACCTTTTACTTCAGGAATGGTGGTTCAGGTCGGGCTCAGTGGCTCACACCTGTAATCCCAGCACTTTGGGAGGCCAAGGCGGGTGGATCACAAGGTGAGGAGTTCAAGACCAGCCTGGCCAAGATGGCAAAACCCCGTCTCTACTAAAAATACAAAAATTAGCTGGGTGCGGTGGTAGGCTCCTGTAATCCCAGTTACTCGGGAGGCTGAGGCAGGAGTATCGCTTGAACCCGGGGGACAGGTTGCAGTGAGCCAAGATTGCAACACTGCACTCCAGCCTGGGCCACAGAGAGACGCCATCTCAAAAAAAAGAATAGTGGTTCAGATACATAGTGTTGGATCTCAGTTTTTGCAGGAAGCCATTCTTTGGTTTGTTCATTCACATGAGGTGCTTAATCTCACTGTGTCTATTTCCTCCTCTAAGATGAAGGTGCTACACCACCCATTTCAGATGGTTATTCTGGGGGCTAAATGATTTAACACACGTAGACTGCTTAGAACATGCTGCCATATGCCACGCATTCAGTAGATCAATAGATGTTGTCATTATCATTATACTCCTCATCTGGATTGAGGGGGTCCTATTCTTTAAGAGCAGTGTTTCTTCACCAGGGGCAATTTGCCCTCCGCGCACAGAGCAGTGTATAGAGACACTTTCAGTTGTTAAAACTGGATGTAGGGTGATACTGGCATCTAGTGGGTAAAGGGACAGGGATTCTGCTAAACATCCTGCAGCCACAGGACACCACCCCACCCCCGCCCCAGCAAATAATTATCTGGCCCAAAATGTCATTGGTGCTGAGGTTGAGAAACTGTATTCCAAAAGAAAGTCACATGGGGTGCAGCAAAGAGGAAGAAAATGAACTTTAATGCTTCAAGCTAATCGCAGTTTTATGGAGTCTGTTCCATTATCTTGGTCAGCCTTATAGAAAGAATTGCAAATTTTGATTAGTTCATAAAAAATATTATTTTCGCTTAGAATGTCCTTGTTCTTAGGAAATACATGCTGAAATACTTAAAGTTAAAAATTCATGATATCTGTATTTTTAAGTGATCCAACAACAGAAAAGTGTGTGTGGAGAGAGAGCAAAAAGGCAAATGTGGCAAAATGTGAACAGTTGGTGAGTCTAGGTGATTTGAATGGTGATTTGAACTTTTCTATAGGTTTGAAGCTTTTCAAAATAAAAATTGGGTTGGGGGAGAGGGGTTAACCTTCCTTGCTTGTGTTCAGGATGGTATATCTGGCAGTGGGTACTAATGATGGGAAGTACTCAGCCAAAATAGTGAGTTACCTTTGTAGTTATTAAGACTTTTTTTTCCCCTAATTTTTATTTACTTATTTTTTTTTTTTTTGAGACAGGCTCTGGCTCTGCTGCCCAGGCAGGAGTCCAGTGGCATGATCATAGCTCACCGCAGCCTCAACCATATGGGCTCAAATGATTCTCCTACCTCAACCTCATGAGTAGCTGGGACTACAGGCACCTGCCACCAGACCCAACTAAATTTTTTATATCTTTTTTTTTTTTTTGAGACAGCATTTTGCTCTGTCACCCAGGCTGGAGTGCACTGGCATGATTCTGGCTCACTGCAACCTCTGCCTCCCACGTTCAAGTGATTCTCCTGCCCCAGCCTCTCAAGTAGCTGGGATTACAGGCACATGCCACCACACCGGCTAATTTTTGTATTTTTTAGTAGAGACAAGATTTTACCATGTTGGCCAGGCTGGTCTCGAACTCCTGACCCCAGGTGATCCACCTACCTTGGCCTCCCAAAGTGCTGAGATTACAGACATGAGCCACCACGCCTGGCCTAAATTTTTTATTTCTTGTACAGATGGGTGTGTCGCTATGTTGGCAGGCTGGTCTTGAACTTCTGGCCTCAAGCAATCCTCTCACCTCCCAAAGGTCTAGGATTACAGGCTTGAGCCACCACACCAGGTCTAGTTTGTTTGTTTGTTTGTTTGTTTAGAAACGGAGTCTCGCTCTGTCACCCAGGCGGGAGTGCAGTGGCATGATCTCCGCTCACTGCAACCTCTGCCTCTTGGGTTCAAGCAATTCTCCTGCCTCAGCCTCCTGAGTAGCTGGTACTATAGGCGTGTGCCATCACGCCTGGCTAATTTTTTGTATTTTTAGTACAGACGGGGTTTCACCGTGTTAGCCAGGATGGTCTTGATCTCCTGATCTCATGATCCGCCCGCCTGCCTTGGCCTCCCAAAGTGCTGGGATTACAGGCATGAGCCACTGCGCCTGGCCACCAGGTCTAGTTATTAAGAGTTTTAATGACTATAGCCTTGTGCTTTTTATCTCCCTTCAGGCTTTAGGCTAAATAGACTTGATTTTATTACCTTTATTAATTTTGTATAATATTTTTTCTTTTAAAAAACAAGCAGGCCACGTGTGGTGTCTCAGGCTTATCCTCCCAGCACTTTGGGAGGCCGAGGCGGGCAGATCATTGAGCCCATGAGTTTGAGACGACCAGCCTGGGCAACTTGATGAAACCCAGTCCCTATTCAAACAACAAAAATAACCACACACACAAAAAGCAAGCAATTATTTAATAGTGGCTATACCTGGTGGGGAGCTAAGATTATGGATGATTTTAATTTTCTTCTTTTTGTATATCTATCTTCTAAATGTTCCATAATAAACATATATTAGCTTTATATAATAGAAAGAAAAAATAAACTTTTAGCAATTAAAAAAATTCTCTCCTGTTGTACAAAATTCTATTTGTGTTGAAAATATGTTTAATTTTAAATCCTTTTTTTTACTGCATCAAGGCTGATTGGGTTTGTTTGCTCGGAAGAATGATAGTGATTGTTTGCTGGCATATCATCAGCAAAGAGTAACAGAAGAGAAGTAGGTAGTGTATTCCATTTGCGAGAGGAAGTTCATCATCGTATTCCCTCCACACTTGGTGATTGCCTGGAGTCACATGTCCCCAGTATAGCTTGTCCAGTAAGCAGGTCGCCTGTAAGGTTTTCATTGTGTAGCTCACTGAAGCATAAATCTCAGTGGGCGTCACAAGTGATTCTTCACAAGTGAAGACTACTGTGTGTTTCTCTTAAAATATTTATGTTTTGGCTGGGCGTGGTGGCTCACATCTGTAATCCCAGCACTTTGGGAGGCCGAGGCGGGTGGATCATGAGGTCAGGAAATCCAGACCATCCTGGCTAACATGGTGAAACCCCATCTCTACTAAAAATACAAAAAATTAGCCAGGTGTGGTGGCGCATGCCTGTAGTCCCAGCTACCAGAAGGCTGAGGCAGGAGAATCACTTGAACCTGGGAGGCAGAGGTTGTAGTGAGCCAAGATCATACCACTGCACTCCAGCCTGAGTGACAGAGACAGAGCGAGACTCCGTCTCAAAAAAAAAAAAAAAAAAAAAAATATATATATATATATATATATATATATATATATATATGTCTCTAATTTTATGTTGTCCTTAATGGTACAGTTGGAACCTGTAACTAATTTCAGTAAAAAGCAGACTATTTTTGTTCACCTAAGTCACTAGCGACGTTATTGTTAGCATTATGGACGCTTACATCCTTAGACAGAATTTCACTCCTGTTGCCCAGGCTGGAGTGCAATGGCTCAATCTTGGCTCACTGCAACCTCCACCTCCCAGGTTCAAATGATTCTCCTGCCTCAGCCTCCTGAATAGCTGGGATTACGAGTGCCTGCCACCACACCTGGCTAATTTTTTTTATTTTTAATACAGACAGGGTTTCACCATGTTGGCCAGGCTGGTTTTGAACTCCTGACCTCAGGTGATCCACCCACCTCGGCCTCCCAAAGTGCTGGGATTACAGGTGTGAGCCACCGTGCCCAGCCTATATCCTTATTTTTTGTGAAGGTTGAAATTCTTTATATATAGTCATTTCTCCAATCCACAAGAAGTTGTTAATGTTTATAGGCACAGAAGTACTGTATATATTTAAGCTACTCTGTTGTTTGGATGAGAAATTAGAAGCTTTATGGAAAAGAGTTGATGCGTGAAAGGAGTTACAGACAGCTTGCTTATGTTATGGGAGAGATAGATATGATATCTCATTTTTCCAACCTGTATCATGCTATTTTTTCCCAACTTTTATTTTGGTTTTTATGATCTTAGTAAGGGAATTGCCATAAACAAGTTGTTTTGGATCTTAAGAGATACCTGGCTTCATAATTGCCTTACATCAGAATAAAAAGTAGGTGTATGAGAGCAGAGGTGAGGAATAGAAATTAAACTGTGTTGTGGAGCAGAAACAGGTTTAGGAGATAGGTGGAAGATAAAGCTTCTTCCTTGCTTAGTAACAAAACAGCTGATGGGTTATTTAAGTTCCATGAGTAAGTCAAGATGATTTGGGAGGACTAGGGAATTTTTCTGGTAACACATTCAATTATTCATTGAATTTGTTTGTTGTATCATAGCCTAGTCACAGACAAAATGGAGTTGGGTGCCAGGAAGGACCCACTGTGAAATAGCATGTCACATGTCATGTCAATTGAATGGACAGTACAGAGAATTACTCGTTTTATCATCATCTTTTCTAGATTTGTAGTTTCAAGGTGAGGATTTTTATCTGGTCACTATAGTTTTTACTTTTGGTATGATTCATTATTTCCTTTTTGCTTTCCTCTTAAATATTAATCATTAGGATTTGCTACCTAGCCTTCTGTTTTATTTTACTCATTCTTCCCAGGCAATTTCATTCATTACTGCCTGTATGCTGAAGGCTGTTAAATCTATAATTACAGCCCCAGCATCTCTTGTGAACTCCAGACATGCTTTGAGTTGCCTCCTGAACTTCTCCACTTGAATGTCCCATGGGCATTCTAATGGTAACATTGTCTCCATCCCATCTGTTCTCATCGCCTGTATTTTTAATCTTGGGTAACCATCTCCTTTTCCTCAAGTCACCTAAACCAGAATCATGAGAGTTATCGTCACTCTCATGTCCAGGTACTCACCAAGTCCTATCAGTTCCTTATCCTAAGTATATATGCTATCAATCCTTCCAAACTCTATCACTATTAAAGTTTTAGAAGAAAATACATTAGCTGAATACAGAGCGATAAACTGCCTGAGGAATCCGGACTCTTGGAATATTTTTATCTGTTTTGGAGGAGGAAAAAAATATTATTTATTTTAAAAAAGGAAAGAAAGGAAGGGAAAGGTTGGGCGGTGGCTCACGCCCGTAATCCTAGCACTTTGGGAGGCTGAGGCAGGCAGATCACTAGGTCAGGAGTTCAAGACCAGCCTGGCCAACATGGTGAAACCCCATCTCTACTGAAAATACAAAAATTAGCTAGGCATGGTGGCACATTCCTGTAATCCCAGCTACTTGGGAGGCTGAGGCAGGAGAATCACTTGAACCAGGACCTGGGAGGTGGGGTTTGCAGTGAGCAGAGATCACGCCACTGCACTCCAGCCTGGGCTACAGAGTGAGACTCCGTCTCAAAAAAATAAAAATAAAAAAAAAGAAAAAGTTTATATCACTCTGTGCAGAGGGAAAAAAATGTTTATAAACCACTGACCTAGCTTATCAAATTGAATTTTGTATGGTTTCCCTATACTGCTGGCTAAAATGAGACATTATTGTAAAGTACTTTATCCCTTCATTTTAACATGAAAGTTTTTAGAGTATTAGAGGTATATCTTTCATTTAATCCTCTATACTATAGTCAATTCTGGTTGATTTTTAGTTCAACATTATTTATTCAGCAAACATTTTGAGTTGTCAGTCATGTCAGGCCAGGCTCGATGCTGGGGATGCAGTGGTTGATCAGGCAAGCTCCTTCCTGTTCTCAAGGTGTTTGTCTTCTAGTAGAGGCAGTTAGTTTAATAATAAAATAAAATAAGAAATATCAGAGTGATAAATGGTATTAATAAGATAAAACAGGTTGATGTGATAGAAGTTGGGAGTTGGAGCCTTCTGGAGGACATCTGGAGAAAGCCTCTCGGAGGAGAAGGTAGTGGAGCTGAGACCTGAGCAGGACTAAGGAGCCAGCTGTGCACAGAATTAAAAATGGGATCATGGAGAAATTAGAAGACATTAAGATTTCAATATATATCAGACCTTGGGACAGGGGGGCATAGCTCTCTCAGCTCAGAATTTAATAGTAATAATCACAAAGGAAAAGTTTGTCAGATTTGCCAAGGTGAAATTTATGGACTTCTGAATTTCAAAAATAGCATTAAGTAGCAAATGAAAAACTATTTTAGCATATAAAATGTGCACAGGATTAAGATAATTACTTTATTAAAAGCTTGCATAGATGAACAAGAAAAATAGAAAACTCAGAGGGCAGATGGCAAAGCAGCATGATAAGGCAGTCCTCAGAAGAGAACATGCAATTCATAAACATCACTAGGAATCAGAAATCCAACTAAGCCAATCTTTTTTTTTTTTTTTTAAATTCAGGCAGGGCGCCGTGGCTCATGCCTGTAATCCCAGCACTTTGGGAGGCCAGGGTGGGCAGATCACTTGAGGTCAGGAGTTCCAGACCAGCCTGGCCAACATGGCGAAACCCTGTCTCTACTAAATATCCAAAAATTAACCGGGCGTGATAGTGAGCGCCTGTAATCCCAGCTACGCGGGAGGCTGAAGCAAGAGAATCGCTTAAACCTGGAGAGTGAAGGTTGCAGTGAGCCATGATCGCACCATTGCACTCCAGCCTGGGTGGCAGAGCGAGGCTCTGTGTCAAAAACTGAAAAATAAATCCAACTAAATAAGGAATCATTTTGTAAAAATCTAGTATATTAGGTTAAACTTTTGTTTACTAGTATCCCATACCAGGGAGAATACAGTGCAGTTGTCATTCTCATACATTGCTGATAACCCTATAAATTAGTAAAAGTTGCTTTCAAAAAGCAGTTGGCGGTGTATACCAAAATCCATAAAAATATCTCTTTCTTGTCCCAGTAATTTCACTCTGGGAATGTAAGTACAAAACAAATTGTTAGGAGTAAATAAACATGTACACCAAAACATGCCTACATTATTTTAGTAGATACTTAGTAGATATTTTAGTAGACATTTAGTAGCAACCAAATGTCTAATAGTAGGGGAAAATGAGTAAATCAGGGTGTATCTGCTCATTGGGATGTTATACACACATGAGGAAGAATGGCTGTGACAGCTGCAACAACATAAGGAAATGCTTTTGATACAATGGGAAATGGCAAACAGCAGTATGCAAAATTGTGTATATACTCTTTGTAATTGGTTTTTTATATGTGCATGGAAAAAACGGTCAAGGATACACACCAAACGCTAACAGTGGTATGTCAGAGTTATGGGGTGAAAATTTTAAATGATACGTTTTGGGAAAAATTTTCTCTAAAAATCTTGCCTGAAAGCATACTTAAAACCTAAATGACAGCAATAAGGAAATTGACTCACTATTCATCTTTCTACAAAAGAGCTTTGAAGGTACAATCGTGTGGGAGAGCCAAGACCTCCACGGCCTTGTGTCAAGAAATCTCCACAAAGTGACAGTGAATGATGGAGGGGGAGTTCTCAGAGTCATTACAGTAAGTCGTTTTTTTTTAAGGTTTAATTGCATATTTTAGCTTCTTTTTAATATATAAAATTGTTCTAAAATTTACCTTAGAGCCCAGGCAGCATGGAGCAATGATTCTTGTGTGTTTTACAACATATATAGTAGCAAATGTTGTTGTCTTCATAGTAAAGGCAAAAACTCAAATATGATCCTGTAACTCCAGCATTAGTGAGTTTACAGTTTTGCTTTAAGATTGATGCATTTTTAAAATGCAATATTTTATTTCTCTTTTTTTTTTTTTTTTTGAGAGGGTCTCACTTTGTTGCACAGGCTGGGGTGCACTAGCACGATCACAGCTCACTGCAGCCTCCACCTCCTGGCTTAAACAATCCTCCCATGTAGCTGGGGCTACAGGTGCGCACCACTACACCCAGCTAACTTTTTGTGTTTTTTGTAGAGATGGGGTTTCACCATGTTGCCTAGGCTGGTTGCAAACTTCTGGGCTCAAGTGATCCGCCCACCTACGCTTCCCAAAGTGCTGTATTACAGGCATGAGCCACTGCACCTGGCCTATTTCTCAGTAATTTTTAAGTTAGCATTCTTTAAGAATACTTGCTCAGTAGTATTCAGAGTATTTACTATCTCACCTTGAAAATAAAACCTCAGTTAAAATACTATAATTAGCCAGGTGCGGTGGCTCATGCCAATAATCCCAGAACTTTAGGAGGCTGAGGCAGGTGGATCACTTGAGGCCAGGAGTTTAACACCAGCCTGGGCAACATAGCAAGACCCCATCTGTACTAAAAATACAAAAACTTAGCCAGGCATGGTGGCGCATGCCTGGAATCCCAGCTACTCAGGTGGCTGAGGCATGAGAATTGCTTGAACCTAGGAGGCAGAAGTTCCAGTGAGCTGAGATCACACCACTGCACTCCAGCCTGGGTGGCAGAGTGAGACTCTGTCTCAAAACAAACAAACAAACAAAAAAAACTACTATAGATAAAAATATTGGAAAATAAGGCGGGGTGTGCTGGCTTATGCCTGTAATCCGAGCACTTTGGGAGGCTAAGGTGGGTGGACCACTGGAGGTCAGGAGGTCAAGACCAGCCTGGCCAACATGGTGAAACCCCGTCTCTACTAAAAATCCAAAAAAAAAAAAAATTAGCTGGGCCTGGTGGTGCATGCCTGTAATCCTAGCTACTTGGGAGGCTGAGGTGGGAGGATTGCTTGAACCCCAGAGGTGGAGGTTGCAGTGAGCCAGGATCATGCCACTGCACTCCAACCTGGGCAACAGAGCGAGACTCCATCTCAAAACAAAACAAAAAAAAATAGAAAATAAGATTGAGTACTTTCATTTATTTTGCTGAAGCAACTCTGGGATTTCTGACTCTCATATTTCTCATTCGGCTTTGCTTTAAATTTAAAACAGTTTGACAGGTGAATTTCTCAAAGTAAATATAGGTCAATAAAGCAGGTATATGAAGACTTAAAATGAACTTTAGTAAACAAACGGTCTGTACGGTGGAATCATAGACAATCTTTTATTCTCCTCGATCTCCTGTCCAATGATTAGGAATGTACTTGGCATTTAAATTCACAAGCTTAGTGAATGAATATTAACCTCATTTACATGGATTAATTTCTGAGTTGAAATGAATATATGCTACGTTATTACTCATTCAAAAAACATTTCCTGCATACCTGTGGTAAGGCAGAAACAATGGCAGGGTAAAATAGACATACTAGTGGCCCACCGTGGAACTTACAGTCCAGTGAGGAAGAAAGACATTAAACAAATAGACCCATAGATTCATATGTAGTTATACATTTAGATTTGTAGGCCATGTTTAGGATTTCATTCATGTTTAGGATTTAGGATTTATTATGACAGGTAAATTTCATAAAGTAAATGGAGGACAATAAAGATGGTGTTTACTTTAGTAAACACACACACCACTTGTTTACTAAAGTTCATTTTAAGTCTTATGAAAAATTTTTTACTGAAAATAGAAAGTTTTATGGAATTATATCTTTCCTTATTATCTTGCCTCCTTTTCTATTTATGAAACTTTAAAATACCCAGCATATGCCAAAATTCTGTAATATTGGTTACACTAAAAGAAATAAATTGGCCGGGCGCGGTGGCTCACGCCTGTAATCCCAGCACTTCGGGAGGCTGAGGTGGGAGGATCACGAGGTCAAGAGATCAAGACCAGCCTGGCCAACATGGTGAAATCCCGTCTCTACTAAAAATACAAAAATTAGCTGGCTGTGGTGGCGGGTGCCTGTAGTCCCAGCTACTCGGAAGGCTGAGGCAGGAGAATTGCTTGAACCCAGGAGGTGGAGGTTGCAGTGAGCCAAGATCGCGCCACTGCACTCCAGCCTGGCTACAGTGCGAGACTCCGTCGCAAAAAAAAAAAAAAAAAAAAAGGTAGGTTTCTGAGTTGAGAACTAGGTTCAAATGTAAAGACTCAAATGATCTGCCTTTGGGAGTAAAAATTATTATAGAGGGCTAAAGATAGCTTAAACATACAGTTAACCTAAAAAAACAAAAACAAAACCAGGTAACTTTTTAAAGCCTACGCTAAGAAACCCCAGGTACAAATTAAGATTTTCATCACAAATGCGTACAGCTGAGAGTTTTCACTAAGCTTTATTCCCTTGCCAGCAAGTGATGTCAGAAAAATTTTAAAGGCAAAAAGCCAAGTTGTGACCTTTTAGAGAGAAGTTAATAAACAGAAATTACTATTGAGTTCTAAAGCCAAAACAATATAGAAATATACAATAAAAAATAAAGCATAGGCTGGGTGCTGTGGCTCACGCCTGTAATCCCAGCATTTTGGGAGGCTGAGTTGGGCAGATCACCTGAAGTCAGGAGTTCGAGACCAGCCTGACCAACATGGTGAAACCCCGTCTCTACTAAAAATATAAAAATTAGCCAGGCGTGATGGCTAATGCCCGTAATCCCAGCTACTCAAGAGGCTGAGAAAGGAGAATCACTTGAACCCGGGAGGCAGAGGTTGCAGTGAGCCAAGATCACGCCATTGCACTCCAGCCTGGGCGACAAGAGTGAAACTCCATCTCAAAAAACTAAATAAGTAGGCCGGGCGCGGTGGCTCACACCTGTAATCCCAGCACTTTAGGAGGCCGAGACAGGCGGATCACCTGAGGTCAGGAGTTCGAGACCAGCCTGGCCAACATGGTGAAACCCCGTCTCTACTAAAAATACAAAAATTAGCCAGGTGTGCTGGCAGGCGACTGTCAGCTACTTGAGAGGCTGAGGCAAGAGAATCGCTTGAACCCCCGAGGCAGATGTTGCAGTGAGCCGAAATCACGCCATCGCACTCCAGCCTGGGGGACAAGAGCAAGACTTCGTCTCAAAAAAAAAAAAAAAAAAGTAAATAAGTAAATAACAAATAAAGCATATACAGTCTTTTATGGAACTACAACGTTGGAATCTATAGCCTGCCCCTTTAGTAATTTTCACATTTGGCTACGAACTTTTATTTTATTTTATTTTATTTATTTTTTTGAGATGGAGTCTCACTCTGTCACCCAGGCTGGAGTACAGTGGCACAGTCTTGGCTCACTGCAATCTCCTTCTCCCAGGTTCAAGTGATACTCCTGCCTCAGCCTCCAGAGTAGCTGGGATTATAGGCACACACCACCATGCCTAGCTAATTTTTCTGTATTTTTAGTAGAGACAGGGTTTCACCGTATTAGCTAGGATGGTCTTGATGTCTTGTCCTCGTGATCCGCCCGCCTCCGCCTCCCAAAGTGCTGGGATTACAGGTGTGAGCCACTGCGCCTGGCCTACAAACATATTTTAAATTAAATGACAAGTTACTACAGTGACCTCAGATTACTTGTTCTACTGGCCTTAAAACATTGCTTTGTACAGTACAACTCTGAAAAGATCTGTTTAAGAATAGCCAAGCAGTAGCTCTCTTGATTAAATGAAGGTGTAGAAAAAATACTGTAAATACACTGAGTATGGACTCTTAACTGTCTGATCTAGCCCACAACAGCCAGACAATACTCTGGTAGATGTACCATAGTGGTTTACTGTATACAGAAGTAAAACAGTTCACTCTGAGTAAGGCCATTGGGTAACTTTTGAAGAGAGATAACTCTTTAATAATAAAAGATTCTCCATTCTAAGAAGTAGAAAGGACTGTCATTGGCTGCTGGCACAATAGGCTTAAGCACCTTCAACAACATCAACAGGCTGGGCACAGTGGCCCACACCTGTAATCCCAGCACTTTGGGAGACCGAGGCGGGAGGATCACTTGAGCCCAGGAGTTCAAGACCAGCCTGGGCAGCACAGTGAGACCTCTTCTCTACAAAAAATTTATAAATATTAGCTGGGCATGGTGGTGCACACCTGTAGTGCTAGCTGCTTGTAAGGCTGAGATGGGAAGATTGTATGTTCAAGGCTAGAATGAGATATCATTGCACCACTGCACTCAGCCTGAGCATCAGAGTGAAACCCTGTCTGTAAAATGAAATTAGGCCGGGTGTGGTGGCTCACGCCTGTAATCCCAGCACTGTGGGAGGCTGAGGCAGGCGGATCACCTGAGGTCAGGAGTTCGAGACCAGCCTGACCAATATGGTGAAACACTGTCTCTTATTTGAAAAAAAAAAAAAAAGAAAAATTAAAAATTAAAAAAAAATTTTTTTTTAATCAATATACAGTAGAGTTCAATTTGAATATTTGGAACAGACTGTTAATTTTGAGCCTTTCTCTGCATGGTCTCTTAACTTTAAAGCATGCCAAGATGTATTTGAACTCATGAGAATTTTTAGTTTCCAAAAAATCAAAGGTCGTAATACATATTTTTTTAAGTGGTGGGGTTGGGATGTAAAATCAATTGCTTTTTGTACTACTAGAGTAGCAAGTACATAAACATGATTCTATGTAAGTTGCAATTCTGAACACCTTATGGAATGTTGGGTATATCTTATCTTTAGTATTGTAATTAGATAACAAAAATAGTAGAATACCGTATGTCATCCTGATATTATAAGCCTCCAGTGCACCAGCATCTTACATGCATTTATCTGCTGCAAGTGGAGTCATATTATGATTTTTGTCAAATCGATTTTAAAATATGATCAGTGTATTTTTAGTAATGAATCACTGAGTACATTCTTATTCCTTTCAGGCTGGGGAGGGTGCATTGCCTCATGAATTCTTGGAAGGTGTGGAGGGAGTTGCAGGTGGTTTTATATATACTATTCAGGGTAAGTTTGCTAGTTGAAACTTGAAAAGTACACTGAATGTCTTATACTTAATCTTTATACTTGAGAGAAAAGGATTTTTTCTTTTTTGTCTTTTAAAAAACTTTATTCAGATAAAATTCACCCTTTTAAAGTGGTTCAGTGGTTTTAGTGTATTCTTAGAGTTCTACAACCGGCTCCACCTCCCAAAAGGAAACCCCACACCCATTAGCAGTTACTCCTCATTCTTACCTCCCCAACCCCCCACCCCCTAACAACTACTGATGCACTTTCTTTCTCTATGGATTTGCCTGTTTTGAACATTTCACATAAATGGAAATGCACAGTACGTACTCTGTGTGTCAGTTTCTTTGCTGTAACATGTGTTCCAGGTCTGTCCATTTTGTATGTATCAGTACTTCTTTTTTATGATCATATAATATTCTATTGCATCGATATGCCCTATTTTATTCATTCATTAATGGATGGACATTTAGATTGCTTCTACTTTTTGAATATGAATAATTCTGTAGTAAACATGTAGGTACAAGTTTTTGTGTGGTCATATATTTCCATTTCTCTTAAATGTCTAGGAGTAGAAGACCTGGGTCATATAATTGTGTGTTTAATCACTTGAGGCACTGCCAGGTTGTTTTCTAAAGCAGCAGCCCACTTTACATTTCCATAGTCAGTATATGAGGATTCTAGTTTCTCCATATTCTTGTCAACACTTAATAAATTGTCTGTCTTTTAAAATATACCAATCCTAGTGGGTGTAAATTGTTATTTCATTGTGATTTTTATTCGTATTTCCATAATAACTAATGATGTTGAGCATTTTCTTCATGTGCTTATTGGCCATTTGTATATCTTCCTTTTTTGTTTCGTTGTTTTTCTTTTTTTCTGAGACGAGGCCTCACTCTGTTGCCCAGGCTGGAGTGCAGTGGCATGATCACAGCTCACTGTAGCCTTGACCTCCCCGGGCTCAAGTGAACTTCCCATTTCAGCCTCCCGAATAGCTGGGACTACAAGTGCATGCCACCATGCCCAGCTAATTATTAAATGTTTTGTAGAGACAGGGTTTTGTCATATTGCTGAGGCTGCACACTGTTAACAGGGTGAATTATTATGGTATATGAACTAGATGTGGGAAGTGAGGGAGGGAGGAGGGGGAGGAAGTGAGGGAGGAAGGGGTGGAGAGAGGGAGAAGGTGGTGAGGGAGGGAGGGGTGGAGGGAAGAAGGGAGGAAAGGAGGGGAGAGAGAGTCATTTGTATATCTTTAGAGAAATATCTATTCAGATCCTTTGCCCATTTATAAAATTATTTTATTGTTGAATTGTAAGAGTTCTTTATATATGCTGGATACAAGTCCCTTATCAGATACATGCTTTGCAAATGGTGCCCTTTAACACACAAAAGTTGTAAATTTTGATGAAGTCCAATTTTGTCACATGTTTTTGCTGTCATATGTAAGGAACTATTGTCTAATGTGAGGTCACAAAGATTTGTGCCTTTGTTTTACAGTTCCAAGAGTTTTATAGTTTTAGCACTTATACGTAGGTCTTGGATCCATGTTCATTTTCATATATGGCATGAAATAGAGGTTTAACTTCATTCTTTTGCATGTGGATATCCAGTTGTCCCAGCACCCATTTGTTGAAAATCAGTGACTGTAGATGTAAGGATTTACTTGAGGACTCTCAATTCTATTCCATTGATCTATGTGTCTGCGTCTTTAACCAGTACTACACTGTCTTGATTATGTAGCTTTTTAGTAAGATTTGAAATTGGGAGGCTGGGCACGGTGGCTCACTCCTGTAATCCCAGCACTTTGGGAGCCCGAGGCAGGTGGATCACGAGGTCAGGAGTTCGAGACCAGCCTGACCAACATGGTGAAACCCTGTCTCTACTAAAAATACAAAAAAATTAGCCAGGCATGGTGTCGGGCGCCTGTAATCCCAGCTACTCCAGAGGCTGAGGCAGAAGAATCGCTTGAACCTGGGAGGCAGAGGTTGCATTGAGCTGAGATTGCCACTGCATTTCATCCTGGGTGACAGCAAGACTCCGTCTCAAAAAAAAAAAAAAAAAAAAAAGAAATTAGGAAATGTGAATCCTCCAACCTTGTTCTTTTTCAAGCTTGATTGGCTATTCTGGGTCTCTTGCACTTCCATATGAATTTTATGATCAGCTTGTTAATTTGTGCAAAAAAAAAAAAGAAAACCTAGCTGGAATGTTTTAAGGGATTGCATATATATATATGCATATATATGAATAAATATATAATTTCAATCGGTTTTGGGGGAGCAGGTGGTGTTTGATTACATGAATAAGTTCTTTAGCGGTGATTTCTGAGATTTTGGTGCACCCATCACCCAAGCAGTGTACACTGTAACCAGTGTGTAGTCTTATTCCTACCCCCTCCCACCCTGTCCCCACCAAGTCCCCAAAGTCCATTGTATCATTCTTATGCCTTTGCATCCTCATAGCTTAGCTCCCACTTATGAGTGAGAACATACGATGTTTGGATTTCCATTCCTGAGTTACTTTACTTAGAATAATGGCCTCCAACTGCACGCAGGTGCTGTGAATGCCATTATTTTGTTTCTTTTTATGGCTGAGTAGTACTCCATGGTATATATATATATACCACATTTTCTTTACTCATTGATTGATGGGCATTTGGGCTGGTTCCATATTTTTGCAGTTGCAAATTATGCTGCTATAAACATGCATGTGCAAGTATCTTTTTCATATAATGACTTACTTTCCTAATGGGATCGCTGGATCAAATGGTAGATCTACCTTTAGTTCTTCAAGGAATCTCCACACTGTTTTCCATAGTGGTTGTACTAGTTCACATTCCCATCAGGGATTGCATTCTATCTGTGGATCAACCTGGGGAGTATTGCCGTGTTAACAGTATTAAGTCTTTGAACATCCATGTCTTATTAAATTTCCTTCAATGATGTTTGATTTTTCAGTATAAAAGTCTTGCACTTCTTTTGTTAAATTATTAAATACTTATGTTATCTTTTTGATGCTGTTGTAAGTGGAATTGTTTTTCTAATTTAATTTTAAGATTGTTCATTGCGAGTATATAGACATACAGATTGTTTTTGTGATTGATCTGTGTGCTGCAACATTGCTGAACAGATCCATGTATTTATTACTTAATCATTTTAAAGTTAGACCTTATGATTTTCTACATGCAAGGTCATTTCATCTGTAAGAAGAGAGAGTTTTGCTTCTTCCTTTTCAATCTGGATGCCTTTTTTCTTATCTGATTGTCCTGGCTAGAACATGTATGTTGAATAGAAGTGGCAAAAGCAGACATCCTTTCATTTTCCTGACATATTAATTTATGCTCATATTTTTCAGATACATGCAGTGAAACAAAATGTGTTACTAGTCTAAAAGGCTTGTATTTAATTTCTGCACTCCTGTTGTTACAAGCCATTTTCCTGTTACAATTTTATAACACTTTCACTTTCCATCAAGTGTTAAATTATACAGATGCTCCTTGACTTACAATGTTACATCCTGTTGAACCCATGTTAAGTTAAAAATGTATGTTGAAAATGCATTTCATACACTTAGCCTGCCGAATGTTATAGCTTAGCCTCACCTACCTTAAACTTGCTCAGGACACTTACATTAGCCCACAGTTGGGCAAAATAATCTAACACAAAGCCTATTCCATAATAAAGGTTGAACATCTCACAAGACTGTAGTCACATGAGAAACAGAATGGTTGCATATGTACTCAAAGCATGGTTTCTGGTGAACACATATTGTTTTTACATTATCGTAAAGTCCAAAAATTGTAAGTCTAAACAGGAGGTCAGGCCAGGTGCAGTAGCTCAATGCCTGTAATCCCAGCACTTTGGGAGGCCAAGGCAGGTGGATCACGAGGTCAGGAGTTCGAGACCAGCCAGACCAACATGGTGAAACCCCATCTATACTAAAAATACAAAAATTAGCTAGGCATGGTGGCGCACGCCTGTAATCCTAGCTACTCGAGAGGCTCAGGTAGGAGAATCGCTTGAACCTGGGAGGCAGAGGTTGCAGTGAGCCGAGATAGCGCTACTGCACTCCAGCCTGGGTGACAGAGTGAGACTCCATCTCAAAAAAAAAAAAAAAAAAAAAAAAAAACAGGAGGTCATCTACCCCTGTGTTTCTCAAAGGCTGGTCTGTGTTCTGCCTACCTGCATCAGGGTCGCAGCAGTGGCCATTAAAAATATAGATTCCTGGGAGCAGGTGCAGAAGGAAAAAAAATAGATTCCTGGGCTCCACCCCAGACCTACTGAATCTTTAGGCTTGGGGCCCAGGAATCTGCATTTCAGCAAGCATTCCCAAGAATCACTGATTGAATCCAGCACCATTTTCTACAGGTGAGACTGCTGTGGTCTAGAGACAACAGAACTTGTCCAGTATCTCACAAGTCATGAGAGGCAGAAGTCAGATATAGGCCTTCAGCTTCCCACCTCATCCTTTCCATTTGCAGTGACAAAGAGTGCAGTGCTAAATTGTATTTCATTTCCTTTGCCACCCTCAGCAGCTCATTTTCTTTGTATTTTTCAAAATTTTTCTTTAATTTGATTGAGACATTTTTAGGAAATCCTGACGTCTCCTGCCACAGCGAAAGAATTGCCTTAAATCAGTAGGATCTGGGGACAGTCCCTGCACACGTGACAAGTGACTCATTAACTTGTGAAGTGGCAAATAAATTGTCTTTTAAGCACATTAGTAATCATTTTTATTATGAAATATCATGGCCAGGCATAGTGGCTCTCGCCTGTAGTCCCAGAACTTTGGGAGGCTCCCAGAAACTTGGGAGGCAAGAGGATCTCTTGAGCCCAGGATTTAGAGACCAGCCTGGACAACATAGCGAGACCCCATCTCTACAAAAAACTTGAAAATTTCCTGGGTATGGTGACAGGTGCCGGGAGTACCAGCTACTTGGGAAGCTGAGGTGGGAGGATCACTTGAGCCCAGGAAGTTGAGGCTGCAGTAAGCTATAATTACACCACTGCATTCTAGCCCGGGTGATAGAACAAGACCCTGTCTCAAAAAAAAAAAAACAAAGGAAATAATCATAAATACACCAGAAATAGTACAGAAACAGCCAGGTACCCAGTGCTCAGAATTAACAATTTTTTATTTACATTTTTTCTTATTCATTTCTAATTTTTTTTTTTTTTTTTTAAATAAAACATGGCCAGGCACAGTCGCTCATGCCTGTAATCTTAGCACTTTGGGAGGCTGAGGCAGGTGGATCACCTGAGGTTAGGAGTTCGAGACCAGCCTGGCCAACATGGCAAAACCCTGCCTCTTGTTACAAACAATTTTTACAATTGTTTGTAAAAATACAAACAATTAGCTGGGCACAGTGGCAGGCGCCTGTAATCCCAGCTACTCATGAGGGAGGCTGAGACAGGAGAATGCTTGAACCCGGGAGGTGGAGATTACAGTGAGCTGAGATCGTGCCATTGTACTCCAGTCTGTGCAACAGAGTGAGACTGTGTCTCAAAAACAAAAAAGAAAGAGGAAAGAAAGAAAACATTATATGCCTGGTGCAGTGGCTCACGCCTGTAATCCCAGCACTTTGGGAGGCTGAGGCAGGTGGATCATTTGAGGTCAGGAGTTCGAGACCAGCTGGCCAACATGGTGAAACTCCGTCTCTACTAAAAATACAAAAATTAGCCGGGCGTGGTAGCTAACACCTGTAATCCCAGCTACTCGGGAGGCTGAGGCAGGAGAATCACTTGAATCTGGGAGGTGGAGGTTGCAGTGAGCCAAGATCATGCCATTGCACTCCAGCCTGGGCAACAGAGTGAGACTCTGTCTCAAAAAAAGAAAAAAAAGAAAACATTGTAGGTACAGTTGAAACCTTTTCCTTGTGGTTCTCCCTAGATGTATTCCTCTTCCCTCTCCTCAAAGGGGGTGCCACTTCCCTAAAATTCATGTGTACCCTTCCCATTCTTATTTTTCTACTTTGAACATATTTACGTCTCTTTATTTATTTATTTATTTGAGACAGGGTCTCGCTGTGTTGCCTAGGCTGGATGGAGTTCAGTGGTGTAATCATAGCTCACTGCAGCCTTGAACTCCTGGGCTCCAGGGATCCTCCTGCCTTGGCCTCCCAAGAAGCTGGGACCAGAGGCATGCACCACTATGCCTGGCTAATTTTTAAATTTTATTTAGAGATGGGGTCTCCCTATATAACCTAGAGTGATCTCAAACTCCTGGGCTTAAGCGATTCTCCTCCCTCGGCTTCACGGAGTGCTGGGATTACAGGCATAAGCCACCACGCCTGACCATGTCTTTAAATAACATAGTTTTGAGTGTTTTATAATTGATATCTGTGGTGTCATATTGTATTTATCACTTGGCAATTTTCACTCAACTTTATTTTTTCATCCCAATCCTTTTAACATGCAAGATCAGGGTAATTTTTTTAACTGCTATATTTCATTATGTGAATATACCACAACTTGGCTGTTTTTTTTTTTTCTCTCAGTGGACATTTAGGTTGGTCCCATTTTTCTTCCACAATTACAAACAATGCTGTAATTAATATCCTCATGTGAAATAATGTTAGTAGGGATATATCTACAAGTGGCCTCAACTGAACCATAAGGTGTACACATTTTCAGCCTAAATAGATATTGCCAAATTGCTTTCCAGAGTGGGAGCATCCACTTAATCCTACTGGCAGTGTATGAGAGTTCCCATTTTTCTACCTAAAGTTCCAAACAACTGCATGTGTTTCTGCTGGGTTACCTTGGGAAAAGAACTTTAGTGTACATCATCAGTTCTGAATGGTAACTTTACAACAGCATTTTTCTCCAACTCTCAACTTTTCCTTTATAGAAGGTGATGCTCTCTTACACAACCTTCATTCTCGCCCTCAAAGACTTATTGATCATATAAGGAATCTCCATGAGGAAGATGCCTTACTGAAGGAGGAAAGCAGCATCTATGATGATATTGTTTTTGTGGATGTTGTCGACACTTATCGTAATGTTCCTGCAAAATTATTGAACTTCTATAGATGGTAGGTTGTAAAAATGTTGGGTAGCTAGAACTTGTTTTATTGTTAGTTTTTTTTTTTTTGAGATGGGGTCTTACTAGGCTGTAAGGAAACCCCTTACTAGGGGTTTCCTAGGCTGGTCTTGAACTCCTGAGTGCAGGCAAACCTCCTGCCTTAGCCTCCTGAGTAGGTAAGATTACAGGCACATGACACTGTGCCTTATTGTTCTTTTGCTATCGAGACAATTTATCAACTTCAAACCACTGAGATTTCAGCAAATAAAAACAAACCTAAGGACACTGAGCACCTGGGATATGACCTATTGTATCCCAGTTCCTTGCGAAAACTGAGCTTCTAAGATGCTGCCACTTTATTTTGATAAAGATCCACAATGTGATATTAACCTATCAAAAACACGGCAAAAATTGGCTGGTGGCTTATGCCTGCCGGCAGCACTTTGGGAAGCCAAGGCAGGCAGATCACTTGAGATCTGGAGTCTGAGACCAGCCTGGCCAACATGGTGAAACCCTGTTTCTACTAAAAATACAAAAATTAGCCAAGTGTGGTGGCGAGCGCCTATAATGCCAGCCACTCAGGGGGGCTGAGGCATGAAAATCACTTGAACCCAGAAGGCGGAGGTTGCAGTGAGCCAAGATCACACCACTGCACTCCAGCCTGGGCAGCAGAGTGAGACTCCGTCTCAAAAAAAAAGAAAAAAAAAAAAAAAGTTGATTCATTTTGAGTCATTTCTGCTTGCCTCGGTTGTCTCAAGCCAGCATTAGATAAAAATCAGTGAGTTTGGGAATGGTCCATTTTTAGTTGTATTTATACCCACCTACCCAGATTCCCCAGTTATAGTCACTCACATTTAGGTTACTGATAGGCATTCTCTTCTACTGAATATCCACCTTATACTTCCAGTCTCTACTCCATCCGTTTAAAAACTACCTCCCTGATTCTAAAACTCTTATGTGGCTGGCTTACTAAAATTCCACAACTCCCAGAATCTATCATATTTATAATTTCCCAGACCCTCCAGTGTTTCTTGGAACTTACTTTTAATTCCTACTTTTATAACAAGAATAACAGCAACAATATATAATAATAGTAACATACATATTATATATCTATATAATCTTAACGTATAGTTATTAGAATTATTAGTTACTCTAGGATCTCAAAATTTTATGTTGAGTTTCCTGGTACTGTCTGTCCTGACCATGGAGCCAAAACTTTCAAACCTATCTCTGATTAGGCCAAACCTATAAAGGGTATTCACTTTTTATTTTTTTCACTTTTATTTTTAAAAACCTTCTTCTGTTCCTTGGTGTGAGGCCCAGGGTCTGTCTCTTTCTTTTCTTCTCTGTTGCCCTAGGCAGAGTGGGAAGTTACCAAGAACAGTACTTTACGGATACAGTTCCCTGGTCCTGAGGGGTAGATGGTCTAATTGGTTTATGGAAGGTAATGTTTCTTAGCTGGGGCAAATTATTTATTTATTTATTTATTTATTTATTTTTTAATAGAAATGAGGTCTCAAGCAGTCTTCCTGCCTTGGCCTCCCAAAGTGCTGGGATTATAGGCGTGAGCCACCACACCTGGCCTGCTGGGGCAAATTAATATAATTTGGGACTCATCCTGTGAGTAGAGAGCAGAGGTAAATGAGGGTTGGAAATCTGGGTGTGTCGAATACTAGGTTAAGTTTAGGCAGCTGTAGTAAGAAAAAGAACCTCCTTTTAATTTGGGGCCGCAAATGAGAGTTGCAATTGTAGGTGAGGCTGAGATGAGGAATGGGCATGGAAGTCCCGAGGGTGGGAAGTCAGGGCTAAGAGTCAGCCCCGGATACTCTTTAGAGCAAGATATTTCCTAGGCGTGGAAGTATCTTAGCCTCTCCCTTAGTCTCCGCTGCCGCTATTGTTGGCTGCCACCTTCTCTCCCTGGATCGCTGCAGTAACCTTCAACAGGACTCTGATCTGGGACCTGCGTCCCCATAGCTGGCATCACCCATCTCCACACTACAAATGAGTTTCATTATTTCTTCCTCATTATTTCAGTTATCAGTGACCTAAATATTCTTTATCATGAAATTTCTAATTAGCAAATATTATGTATGCCTTCTGCTGTTAATTGGAAATAAACTTTAGAAACATGGGGTGATGCTATTTGGTGTGGACCCATTATTGTTAAATTCACCATTCTTGGACCTAATGAAATTCTAAATTTATTTTATTGAGATTTCTGACATATGACTGGCACCCTAGCAAAACTGCATTTTTAAACAGATGTACAGGGACTGTCAATGTGAAATGAAGGAGTCAATTTTGTCTTTAGTCATGATTATATATTTTACGTCTAGATAATGAAGTCACTATCCTTTGCCTTCCAGAAGGTCATTTATAATGGTTTAATTGCTAGAAGTTGTTTCCAAGGGAAAATATGTTTCAATGTAATAAGTCAGGTTTTTTTAAGCCATAAAATATTTTGAGTGTAATATAAATAGCATCGGATGCATCTTGTACAATAGCGTTCTGTGTGAGAGGCCCAGATGTAACACCTAATTCATTATGCTGGGCCTTTGTTATTAAGAACACACGGGGCAAGGTTCAGGCGTTTAATAGATTTGGCAGCAGGAGTTGAATGATGCCTAAGAAGCATTTGTTTGAACATATGTTCCATTTAAGCCAGATATTTTCCTTCAATATGCTCTTTCTTTGCCTTTTAAAATCAGGTTAGTACTTCTCTGTGTTATGCCATTTAGTAAAGACCAAGTGATGGCCTTAGTTGATAGCAGCAAAATTTTGTTAGAGCAAATGTTCTCAACATTTGAGGAATAAGAAATTTAGATAATGACAGGTACAGTTTTGAATGAAAGTGTTAGTGACGCCACTGCATTGGTGTTTGTTTGTTTGGTCGCACTGACTTTCTTATCCCTTTTGTGTCAACAGGACTGTGGAAACAACGAGCTTCAATTTGTTGCTGAAGACAGATGATGACTGTTACATAGACCTCGAAGCTGTATTTAATAGGATTGTCCAAAAGAATCTGGATGGGCCTAATTTTTGGTGGGGAAAGTAAGTTAACCATTCTTAGCCCATTGGCATTCGTGTACCTGATCAAATGTAATTAATAAAGCATAAAATATCTTTTTTTTTTGAAAATGTGGTTGAGATATACAATTTCGTACTAGACTCCTGGGTTTATATATATTTCATTACTCTAGGTCAGTCATGCTGGCTCACATCTGTCATCCCAGAGTTTTGGGAAGGCTGAGGTGGGAGGATCCTTTGAGGCCAAGAGTTCAAAACTAGCCTGGGCAACGTTGCAAGACCCTGTCCCTACAAAAAATTAAAAAGGTGATGTGAGCCTGTAGCCCTTAGCTACTTGAGAGGCTGAGGCAGGGAGACTGCTTGAGCCCAGGAGTTGGAGGCTGCAGTGAGCTATGATTTTGCAACTGCACTCCAGCCTGGGCAACAGAGGGAGACCCTGTCTTAATAATAATAATAAATTTTATATTACTGTACAATTGGAGGAAATTATTTTTTAAATGAAAAGCCTCAGGCTAATGTAGTAAAGGAGGGAAAACAATATGGCTTTTATTCTTATGCCAAAGAAATAAATGGTATTCACATTAGAAGCTACTGTATATTTTGTTAGAGTACGTTTGTGACACGTCTCTGAAACCATTTTCTGTGCTTCCTCAGGAATACAATATGGATTAGTGATTTGGTTTTTTGTTTTCATATATACTAAAACACAGGGTGATCTTCTAGTGCTTTTCATTCAGAAACTCTACAAATGCAACTTTGAGAAAATTTAACATAACCAATCTTTTATCTAAAACAACACTGGATAAATGATAATTCCTTTCCTTAGATTAAGAAAATTTTTTTCTGGAAGGGCAGTGGCTCACGCCTGTAATCCCAGCACTTTGGGAGGCTGAGGAGGGTGGATCACCCAAAGTCAGGAGTTCAAGACCAGCCTGGACAACATGGCAAAACCCTGTCTCTACTAAAAATATAAAAAATTAGCTGGTCATGATGGTGTGCGCCTGTAATCCCAGCTACTCGGGAGGCTGAGGCAGGAGAATTGCTTGAACCCAGGAGGCAGAGGTTGCAGTGAGCCGAGATGGCACCACTACACTCCAGCCTGAGCAACAAGAGCAAAACTCCATCTCAAAAAAAAAGAAATTTTCTTATTTTCTTTCCTCACTTCTACAAGCTTATTCCTTTGTAGTGATGATAAAGGAGTCAAGTTTTAATAGTGGCAGGATATGTGTCAGACTAACACAAGAGGCCACATTATTTTTCATCTCAGTTTCAGACTGAATTGGGCAGTTGACCGAACCGGAAAGTGGCAGGAGTTGGAGTACCCGAGCCCCGCTTACCCTGCCTTTGCATGTGGGTCAGGATATGTGATCTCCAAGGACATCGTCAAGTGGCTGGCAAGCAACTCGGGGAGGTTAAAGACCTATCAGGTAATTAAGAATTTCTTAGCTTGGCGTGGTGGCTCTTGCCAGTAATCACAACACTTTGGGAGGCTAAGGCGGGTAGATCACTTGAGCCCAGGAATTCAAGACCAGCCTGGGTAACATAGCAAGACCCCATCTCTATAATAAAAAATAAAATAAAAACAAAAAATTAAGGATTTCCCACCTACGTATACACTCATCACACCAAGTTTCATCTCACTCGGCATCCCATCATGGAAAGCAGAACCCACTTACCTTGGGGAAAAGCACGTTATTCTCTGTATAGGAATCACCTCTCAAAGGTTAAGGATGCACCCCTACATCCCTCAAATCTTGCCTTTAAATTCTATTCCTAAATCTTTTTTGAGCCTACTTATTATGTTTTCAGCTAGTATTTACAGGTGTCATCCCTGGAGGCTGGGCACTGTGGCTCATGCCTGTAATTGTAGCAC
Organism: Homo sapiens; assembly: GCF_000001405.40. Classification (NCBI taxonomy): domain Eukaryota; kingdom Metazoa; phylum Chordata; class Mammalia; order Primates; family Hominidae; genus Homo; species Homo sapiens. The sequence goes on along the minus strand of NW_014040927.1, from coordinate 97,301 downwards.
TTTCGGACGCCAAGGCAGGCAGATCACGTGAGGTTAGGAGTTCAAAACCAGCCTGGCCAACATGGCAAAACCCTATCTCTACTAAAAATACAAAAAATTAGCTGGGCGCACACCTATATTCCCAACTACTTGGGAGGCTGAGGAGGAGAATCATGTGAACCCGGAGGCGGAGTTTGCAGTGAGCTGAGATTGCGCCACTGCATGCCAGCCTGGGCGACAGAGGGACACTCTGTCTCAAAAAAAAAAAAAGTATAGTCCCTGGAGGAATAGAAAGATTTTTATTCCTAAGGAGGAAGCCCTAAGTGCTTCCTGGAAGCTTAAGGTACATGAGAAGGATGGGTCGTCTGCTCGCGGTTTCATCTTATTACCTTGTGGCAGGGGTGCTTCATATTAAAGACCACTAGCTTTGACTTCATGTGAACCCATTTTTGCTATTTCATATTAGAATAATAACAGAGCAAAAAAGTAGAAAGGTGGTTTATGATGGGAGTGGCTATGGTTTTGTCTTTACAAATAAAATAGCATTAAAATTTTTACATTTAAACTTTATGGGCCATGTATAGGGTGAAGATGTAAGCATGGGCATCTGGATGGCTGCCATAGGACCTAAAAGATACCAGGTAAGTCTTTGGGGATGGCCTCAGGGTTCTTAAGAGTTGAGGAGGTGGATTTCTATATACAGGTTGAGTGTTCTTTATCCAAAATGCCTGGGACCAGAAGTATTTAGGATTTCAGATTTTTTTGGATTTTAGAATAATTGCATTATACTTAGAAGTTGCACATTCCAAATCTGAAAATCTGAAATGCTTCAGTGAGCATTTCCTTTGAGTGTCATGTTGGCTCTCAAAAAGTTTTGGGCTGGGCATAGTGGCACATGCCTGTAATCCCAACACTTTGGGAGGCCAAGGTGGGTGTATCACTTGAGCCCAGGAGTTCAAGACCAGCCTGGGCAACATGGTGAAACCCCCCGTCTCTACAAAAACTACAAAAAAATTAGCTGGGCATGGCAGCGCCTGCCTGTGGTCCCAGCTACTCAGGAGGCTAAGGTAGGAGGATCAACTTGAGCCTGGGAGGTCGAGGGTGCAGGGAGCTGTGAATGCACCACTGCACTCCCACCTGGGCAACAGAGTGAGAGAGACCCTGTCTCAAAAAAAAAAAAAAAGTTTTGGATTTTGGAGCATTTTGGATTTCAAATTTTCAGATTTGGAATGCTCAACCTGTAATGTTTATCACACCATGGGCAGAAAGAATGAGGATCTTCTACCATAATAGTTATGCTGTTGCTTTAATTCACAATAATCCACTAGGTTATTTCTCATACAGTATTTTTCTGAGTTTAAAGCAAAAGGTTATAAATCAACGTTCCCCTGCCTACAAAAAAACTCAGTTTCCATAGATTTGATCAGAAATTATTTGCAGCTTTAAAACTTAACAACAGAAGGCCGAGGCGGGCAGATCATGAGGTCAGGAGATGGAGACCATCCTGGCTAACACGGTGAAACCCCATCTCTACTAAAAATACAAAAAAAATTAGCCAGGCATAGTGGCGGGCGCCTGTGGTCCCAGCTACTCAGAAGGCTGAGGCAGGAGAATGGCATGAACCCGGGGGGCAGAGCTTGCAGTGAGCCAAGATCACACCACTGTACTCCAGCCTGGGCGACAGAGCGAGACTCCGTCTCAAAAAAAAAAACTGAACGACAGAATCCACTGATTGAGTGTGGCAGTCTAAGGATCCTTCAACCCTTCTGACCGATAAAAATAAGACACTGCATGAAATATAAGACATCATTTAAAACACAGTATTGCTGAACCAGAAAAAAAAATGAATCTGCAGAGACCAAAATGGAAACTAGAGCCCTGGGAAGAAATCAAGCACAAAGCTGGCTTTAGCTTCAGAGATTTCTGTTCTGGATTCTTGCAGCTTCCACTTTGGCCATCGAAGGTGCAGGGGACAGAAGGCACATGCAGTGTCTGTCAGTTAGAAGCCCTGCATAGAGCTGGGGTCCCAGAGCAGCTCTCAGTCCAGGACAAGAAATCAACCCACATCTACATGGTCCACTTTGATAGTCTGATTCCTTTGCTGTACTTTGTCTCATCTTTGAATATAATTCTTTTTTGTATCTGGTAATTCTGGGATCTGTAGTCTTTGCTGGGTCTGATTTTGCAGTTTGTTGTTTCTACAACTGTTGTTCATGGCGCTTGTTTTCTGATGCGGTCTTTTTTTTTTTTTTTTTTTTGTGACCATCTCATGTCTTTGGAAACTGAGTCCTCTATTTAAAATGCATTCCTACAGAGAGGATTTACATATTTACATTTTTTTCTGCCATGCATCTAGGAATACTACCATCTATGAATACTTCAGATTTTTGGCTTGGAACTGTTGGGCTTACACAGACTGACTACCAGCCCCAGACCTACCTAAGTGCAAGCTGTGGGTAGGCACTGAGGGGAGAGAGACTCCTTTCCATCCCACTGAGGGGCAAGACTGAGACAGACAAGCTGAGTGTGTTTTGTTTTATCACCCCTGAGGCTGTGGCCCCTCAGAGATCCTAGCTCTGTGTCAGTCTCCCATTAGTCTCCTGACCCTGGGCTTGGCCTTCCAAACCCAAGGATCAGCAGCTGCCTTCAAGGCACAGGCTGACTCAGTGCTTTCTCCTACCCTGTTTCTTCTTTGATCACGGAGTTGAGCCATGCTTTATAAAGGTTTTTAATTTTATCCAACATTTTTGTGTTGTCAAAACATTGAATGAGTTTCTCTCTGTGTTCTGCTACATTGCTGGAAATAGAAACCAATTCACGTAGCTAGGAAATAGTCTAGTGGTTAAGAACTTGAGCTTGGGAGTCTTTAATCCCTCCTCTTCATTTACCAGCCCTGTGACCTGGAACAAGTTTTTTAACTCTTCGTTTGTTCCTCAATTGTTAAGAGGGAAATAGTTCCTACCTCACAGCATTACTGTGAGATTTAAGTGAGATATTTACAAAGCACTTGGTACAGTCCCTGCAATATTGTAAGCATTCCATCAGAATAATAGCTGTTACTAATACTGCCATAGACACACCTTTACTAGCAAACATGAAACTCACTTGTGGTTTCTAAAATCGTTCATTACGGAATGGCATTTGTTGACTAACTCTTCATCCACACACCGCCTTGTTTCTGTATTCCACAGCCACAGGACTGTGGGACCTGGTGCTTTCCCAAATCAGGAGGTGCCACCCCCAAACCTCACCAGTTGTTCCACACACGGAGTTATCCTTGAAATAATTTCAGCATCATTAGAATACATAAAAGCTGTCTACGTGCATACTTTCTGATGCTCTTAAAACAGTTTCACCACTCTCAGATCGGCTTTGGTTGTTTCTCAACAGGACAGTCTGTGGCTGTGTGAGAAGACCTGTGAGACAGGAATGCTGTCTTCTCCTCAGTATTCTCCGTGGGAACTGACGGAACTGTGGAAACTGAAGGAACGGTGCGGTGATCCTTGTCGATGTCAAGCAAGATAACAGGGACTTGAATTAGCAGAGTCTAAAATCAGGGCAGGCAAACGATAATCTGAGTGCAAGTCTGAGGAGTCCCAGGGTTTAGCAGTAGACTGTATGGTCTTTCAAGAGAGTTCCAGACTGGCACTTTCACCCAGAACCAATGCGGTGTTTCTTAATGTTTGCACAAATTTCCTTAAAAATCAACTTGTACTGTAGCATAAGAAAAGTTTTTATTTATCTATTGGAAGATTATCAGAAAAATACCAAGTTATTTTATAAAAGAAAAAATATTTCTAAATCCTGATGCATTGTGGCTAATTAGTAATTCACCATTACCTATAGTTTTTGGTTAAAACTTGGCCTAGTTCAGAAATCTGTAGTAGTAACTGAGAGTTTGAATTTCAACCTGGATTGCAGGATAGCTCTGTAGAGCTAATTAGGATAATTATCAGACAAAAAGGAACTCACAGGAATGCTGTGTGATCATGTGATCACATATTTGAGCAGTGGTCACTTATACCAAAGTTTGGGGTTTCTGGAAATAATGTCAGATTTTGTGGATCTCTGAAGTGGGCAACTTGAACTAACTTGAAGAGGAACCAATATGATTCTCAGTTCTGAACCTTGGTTTTAAAGAAGTTCATTTATATGGTAGACTAATACCCAAATTTTCTTTCTGCCATCTAACATAAATCCTGAAGGTCACAGTTTAGTACTCATAGTTTTTAAATGCTAAAGTTGTGTGAGTATGAATAAAAGCAAATACCTCTCAGGGTTTTAGTGCCATCGGGAAGGATATTTCTAAATTTTGTTGACATTTTGAAAGAATTAGTTTTGCTTTCCTCCTATCATTGCCTAATGTTTACCTAATATGAGTACATTTCAATCAAAGCTGGTTATCACAGAAGAAGATATACTCAGCTTAGGTATAATTGTAGGGAAAAGCATGTGATTAATTTAAGTACTCTTAGAAATAGTGCAACTGAGAAGACAGATAATAGCATATTGTTATACATAGTAGAGGATGTCTCCCCAAGTTTAAGGGACATTTCCCAAAATGACCAACCAAATCATTTCTAGTAACCCTTTAAAATAGTAGTTTCAATAGAGAATTCCATTAAAACTAGTCTTATGACAGATATTAACTGTGTTCAGATTTTATTAGGCTAGCTAGTTTCTTTCTATTTAATATTTAAATCTTATCATGAAATGCAGTGATGAGCTGTAAAAATAAATATGAAATAAGATCAGAAAATCATTAGTAGGTTCAAAGCCTTTATTATTGCTATTATGTATAAGCCTAGAAATGGTCACTTCCCAACAAAAAATACATCCCTTGTTATACTTAGGACAAGTTGTAAACCCCCTTTGTTTTGACAGTAGAATTGTTCCAGTGAATCATTTATTTCCGGTGAACCCCAGACACGATAAGCAGTGTGGTCTTTAAATTTTATTAGTTGGTTGTCACCATCGCACTAATAGACAATCTCCATTTTCCACAGAATAAAACTGTAATGACTTTAGGTCATTTTCCAGCTCGATTTCTCTGCCCGGCTTCTAAAATTAGAACGAAGGTGGGGAAGGATGTGATTAAGACAGATCCGATAAAGCATGCTACACATACTCTTCCCCCACCCCGTCCCCAGGCAGTAGCTTACCCTTAAAATCAAACAAACAGACCCATGGTCTCCATTTAGAATCAAACTGTTGCTATCTAGAGACAGTTTAATGTCATAATACGAGGACTAAGCTTGACTTTGACTTTGTATTTTGCTGGGCAACTTACTTTGGGACTTTCATAGGACAACAGAAGGTCTGACACAGGAACTTTGAGAAGACGTGACAGCAATCCCTTCACCTTTTGAATTGTCATGGAGCCTATCAAAAGACAAGAAAAGTCCATTCGTTCTCTCAAATGACAGTTACCTGTAAAACTAGCTCATGTGATGAGACCACAGTATCATTGCAATGATAGCTGTATCTGTCTTTTTTTTTTTTTTTTTTTTGAGACTGACTTACTTACTTACTTAAGTAAGTCTTGCTCTGTCGCCCAGGCTGGAGTGCAATGGTGTAATCTCGGCTCACTGCAACCTCCGCTTCCCGGGTTCAAACAATTCTCCTGCCTCAGCCTCCTGAGTAGCTGGTGCCCATCACCACACCCAGCTAACTTTTGTATTTTTAGTAGAGACGGGGTTTCACCATGTTGGCCAGGCTGGTCTTGAACTCCTGACCTCGTGATCCGCCCGCCCTGGCCCCCCAAAGTGCTGGGATTACAAGCATGAGCCCAGCGCCTGGCTGTATCTTTCATTTTACCCAAGTCACTTTACCCAAGTAAGTAATTAGGGGAAAGCCTGAGTCTTGTACCACCTGTTCATTTGGGGAACTGTGGGAAACGGAGCCAACGGACCTAAGTGCCCTTTGACAGTGAGTTTCATACCATTTCAGTAGTGTATTTCTTTCTTAATCTGAATAAACCAGAATGATACTCTCAGCACAGAAGAATAAAGGGAGCGAGTCATTAACGTTTTCTTTTTAAACCTTTATGATGACTTCCTTATGAATTACTGAACGAACACTGGAATGGGACTCAGGTATCCTGAGGACATCTCTCAACTCTGGCCTTAGTTCCCCCTCTGTAAAATTAGGGTGCCAACTAAATGATCTACAAGGTCCCTTCCAGCGCCGCCATTCTGTAATTACATCATGTGTAACTGTATTAAACATACACAAGTGACTGCCAGGCATGGGAATGTAACTTCCGAGTAAATGCTTTGGTTTGTTCAGAATACACTATGAACTTCTTTCCAAAGACGGGTTGTGGTAAATAGTGGATATTTTGATTATAAGAAATAGAGTTTCCTTGAAGCTTTAGCTGGAGATACAGCAATAGTGTGGTGTTCCTACAAATATCACAGTGTATTCAAACATATTTTTCTATCAAAAATCATTTTTGTAAAAGCTGTGTGTTTTTATCCAACTTGTGATAATAAATGTTCTTTATTTTAGAATAAAAACTGGCCTTTTTGTATGTATTGAATACAGTTAATAGAATTTATAATTTTAATTAACAATTTGCTCTTTCATGTGTGAATATGTGATAGTCTAGTCCTTTCAAAAGATTGAGACGGACTGGCTTTCATTGTTTGAAGGCTGGTGAGAGAAGGGGTTACCTGCTGCACACCAGTGGGGAGTGACATACTCCTAACACATGCCAGAAACAAAAAGTTTGGTCATAAAACAGTTCTAATAAGAAATCTGCCTGGCCTGCTCACACCTGTAACCCCAGCACTTTGGGAGGCAGAGGGATCAGAGCCCAGGAATTTGAGACCAGCCTGGGCAACATGAGGATACCCCATCTCTACAAAAAATAAAAAATTAGCCAAGCATAGCGATGTACGCCTCTAGTCCCAGCTACTTGGGAGGATCACTTGAGCCCAGGAGGTCAAGGCTACAGTGAGCCATGATCGCGCCACTGTACTCCATCCAGCCTGGGTAACAAAGTGAGAACCTGTCTCAAAAAAAAAAAAAAAACCTGCCTACTCATACCGGTTCTATAGAAGAAAGTAGCAATCTCTATGTAATAAATAGCATTACCATTTTTAATATAGTAACATGACTGTCTTAACATTCAGAAAATATGGAAATAGCTGATTATTTCTTTTTACCTGCCTATGACCAGTGTTAAAAATTTGAGAGGTATACCTCTAGGCCTTTTTTTTTCTGTGTTCATATAAGGATGTATAGGTTTTAAGCCAGGCGCAGTGGCTCACGCCTGTAATCCCAACACTTTGGGAGGCCGAGGCGGGCGGATCATCTGAGGTCAGGAGTTTGAGACCAGCCTGGCCAACATGGAGAAACCCCGTCTCTACTAAAAATACAAAAATTAGCCAGGCATGGTGGCGGGCACCTGTTATCCCAGCTACTTGGGAAGCTGAGGCCGGGAGAGTTGCTTGAACCCGGAAGGCAGAGTTTGCAGTGAGCCGAGATCATGCCACTGCACTCTAGCCTGGGTGACAGAATGAGACTCCGTCTCAAAAAAAAAAGGATGTATAGGTTTTATAATATATTGACGTACTACATTTGTATTTCTTTATGACATGATGGTATAGCTTTTCATGCCAATTCCATGCCATGTCCTCTAGCCATACACTGCCCAGTATGGCAGCCACATGTGGTACTGAGCACCTGGAAAGCGGCGAGTATGACTGAAGAACTCAATTTATTTTATTTTAATGAATTTAAATAGCCACATGTGGTTATTGCAGCCACACTGGACAGCGCAGCTCTAGACTGCTTCACTCTCCTCGGTGACACACGACAGTGCCTTGTGTGCTGTGTGGTTCCACCAGAGCTTATTCACCATTCCTCCGCTGGCAAGTACTTAGATTCTTACTATCTTTACCATTACAAATGCTGCAAGATACAATGCTTGGTCAGAGCATATGTGTATTTTTAACTTTTTATAGTAGTTCCCACATGACTTTAAAAAAGGGTATACTGCTTTTTCATGCCAGCCAGTATTATTTTAATTTTGCTAATCTAATGGATAAAAAAAAAGATATTGCAGTTTTGTTTTGTTTTGTTTTAATTTTAGACAGGGCCTCACTCTGTCACCCAGGCCAGATTGCAGTGGCTCAATCACAGCTCACTGCAGCCTCAACTTCCCAGGCTCAAGTGATCCTCCCACCTCAGCCGCCCAAGCAGCTGGGACTACAGGCATGCACCACCACACCCAGCTAATTTTTGTATTTATTTATTTTTGTAGAGACGGGGTTTCACCATGTTGCTCAGGCTGGTCTCGAACTCCTGGGCTCAAGCAATTTGCCCACCTTGGCCTCCCAAAGTGCTAGGATTACAGGTGTGAGCCACCATGCCTGGCTATTACTTTTCTGTTTAGAAGACATTTACCTATGTTAGTGGTTAAATATTCACAGCATGTGGCATAAGAATTAGTATTAAGAACCTTTGTATGAGTGAGTGAGTGAGTGCACATTTGAGAAACAGAAAAGCAAATAAAAAAGGGGAAAAAAAGGAACCCTTGTAATCTGCTGGCTTACTGCTGAATTTATAGAATATAGGACTCAGATTCTGAATAGTTTAAAGTAGTAATTCTTACATATAATTTCTATGGATAGTCGAATCTCTGCTAGCTACCCAAAGATTAATAAAAACAGCATGAATGCAGTGGGTGTTCCCAAAATGGCTAACTGAATCTCAGAAGACCTGGGATACCAGTCAGGTGTACAGTGTGGAAGTAGAGAAGGGTAAGGCGGCACTGTCACCCCCAGCCAAGGGCTGCATTCAGGCATATGCCCAGACGGCAGGCCTTGGCAGGTCTACCTCAGTGCCTTCCAGAGAAAGACTGAAAAGGAAAGCTTAACGAAACAGGTCTAATGACAATATTCTTGAGCAAATACTCTATAGTGGTAACATTCCCATGAATTGATTTGATGTATCTGCAAAGGCAAAAGGAAACACGCAAAGACATCGAAGGCCAAAAACATTCACAGAAAGTCCTGGCCTGCCAGGCATGGTGGCTCACACCTATAACCCCAGCACTTTGGGAGGTGATGACAGGAGAACTGCTTGAGCTCAGGAGTTTGAGGCCAGCCTTAGCAACATAGCGAGGCTTCATCTCTACTAAAAATCAAAAAAATTAGCGGGGTGTGGTGGTTCGTGCCTATAGTCCCAGCTACTCAGGAGGCTGAGGTAGGAGGATCACTTGAGCCCGGGATCAAGGTGATGGAGCCTGCAGTGAGCTGAGATGGCACCACTGCACTCCAGCGTGAGTGACAGCCAGACCCCATCTGAAAAAAATATATCAAAAATAAAACAGTCCTGGCCCTCTTTGACTAGTCTGTCTCCACCAGGGCCTTTACTGTCTGTCTAAGTTTGAAAACAGAATAATGAAGGGGGAAATCACTAATTCTAACCCATTATATAGCAGTAGCCAAATTACATATTACAGGAGTAGAAACTGGATTGTGAATAAATAAAAATGGAGACGTTGTGGTAAATTAAATGGATGGTTATCAATCAGAAAGGTACTTCTTTGAACACAACTAAGGCCTTCTATAAGCAATACCATGATAAGCTTGCTTTATCTGATAGAAACTAATTTAAAAATCAATGTGAATTTACTGCACTGATGGGCAAAGAAACCCAGTGTACTAGAGTCATTAAGCTGATGTGTATTTCATTTATTTAAATCCTCACTGCTCTAAATTATTTATATTTTAGCATTTAGCTATGAATCAAGTTTAATCTTGAGAATTCACAGTATCATGGCATACTCAAAAATAGACTATAATTTCATTTTTCTTTTGAGTGAAAGTTTAAGGTAAGTTATGTTGATCTACTTTATTGACACAAGCATATTTATTTTCCAAATAAAAGTAATTCAGTTCCAGTACCACAATTTTTTTAAGTTCTAAGGTAGCTTTCTCAAAGAAAACCATTTCAGGGTGTCCATTAAAAGAGCATCTGCGAATTGTTTTTGCAGGGACTCCTAATCAGTCAGGAGAAGTAGAATGTAAGCAAAGTCACAAACCTCCCGTAAGAATTTGGTTCACCAGGACACAGCTCCTCTCTTATGAAGGGATGAGAAGCAGACCCCAAACCCAGTGTCACAGTCTCCCTGGAAACAGCAGCAGGCTTGGGGAATGCTTCCAAAAGGCTATGCCATTCAAGGTCTCAGGTTTTTTGGTTAAAAATACAACTTAGGCCAACTGCAGTGGCTCATGCCTGTAATTAATTCCAACACTGGGAGGCTGAGGCAGGAGGATGGCTTTGAGCTCAGGAATTCGAGACCAGCCTGGGCAACATGGCGAAAACCCATCTCTACAAAAAATACAAAAATTAGCTGGGCGTTGGTGGCTCGCACGTGTAGTCCCAGCTACGTGGAGGCTGAGGCTGGAGAATTGCTTGGGCCCAGGAAGCAGAGGCTGCCGTGAGCTGAGTTGGTGCCACTGCATTCCAACCTGGGTGACAGAGTGAGGCCCTGTCTCAAAAAAAATTGTGTGTGTGTGTGTATATATATATGTGTGTGTGTGTGTGTGTGTAATTATATGCAGGGGCTTCCAATTTTAACAGAACTGCTTTCAGCTGATAAAGTTAGGGGAGACCTGAACTTTTGGGGGCATGGGGGAGTGATATTAGCATGATTGATTGTATTTTAGAATATAAAAGACTAATGAAAACCTGTAAGTTCTGAGGTCCACACTTTGAGACATGAGTTAAAGGTTTTAATTTTAGCTGACTCATACCTAGGCCGATGATTCAGAGTTTAAGGAAAAGACAGGCTGGTTCTTCTTACCCGGCAGTTGTTTCTCCAGGACTTTCTGATCAAGTTGATGAGGGTATTTTATCTTCAGTGCTTTAAGAGAAACAAAGAAAAAGACTAATTGATATCTACTATTATATGGATTTAAATTATCCACACACATCAACAGATGGCCAAATGATAGAGGTATTCAGTGCAAATTGGCAGGTCTAATCAATGTTTAAAATTCTTTCTATTAATCCTTCCATGGATTGCTAACAACAACAGAAATAGCTGGACAATACTTTCCCTTTTCCCCACTTAGTACTTCTTTCCTTACAGCTTGGCTAGGTTTTCAAGTCATAAATTCACAAATCACAATTTGGTTCACAACTCCAATACCTCCCACATTTATAACACTATTAAATGAGTTTAAAACATAGGAGTTACAAAAATGTATAAGAATTTAAACATGTTTTAAAGAATTCATTTCTTTGACAGGGCGCGGTAGCTCATGCCGCTAATCCTAGCACTTTGGGAGGCCGAGGCGGGTGGATCTCCTGAGGTCAGGAGTTTGAGACCAGCCTGGCCAACATGGTGAAACCCCATCTCTACTAAAAATACAAAATTAACTGGGTGTGGTGGCGCATGCCTGTAATCCCAGCTACTCGGGAGGCTAAGGCACGAAAATCGCTTGAACCCGGGAGGCGGAGGTTGCGGTGAGCCAAGATCGTGCCACTGCACTCCAGTCTGGGCAACAAGAGCAAAACTCCGTCTCGATTAAAAAAAATTAGCCGGGCATGGTTGTGTATGCCTGTAGTCCCAGCTACTCCAGAGGCTGAGGCAGGAGAATCGCTTAGAACCTGGGAGGCGGAGGTTGCAATGAGCTGAGATCACACCACTGCACTCCAGCCTGGGAGACAGAGGGAGACTCTGTCTCAAAAAAAAAAAAAAAAATTTTCATTTAAAACTCAAGGCATTTACTTAGGTACTTAAGAGGTACACACTTAAGAGAAACACACTAACTGTTTCAGCACCTAAGCACTCAAATACAAATAAACTATTTGAATCTGAGATTCTTACTTAGTAGCTGGTTTTTCAGCATAAGTGGTTGCTGTGTTTTGAGTTCCCAATCTTCAGGTGCACCATATTCTGTTTAAGAAAGCAAAAGAGATGAATGATAAACCAAAGGCCACTATAAGTAAAAACAAAACAAACAAACAAACAAAGGATAGGTAAGCGTCCAGAGAGCCTGTGCCTTTCCCAGGACACATGGAGCTGCCTTTATTCAGTGTGATTTTTAGGAGTGATGGACAACGACCACTTCCAAGGGCAGAATCTTCTATCTACCCAGAGCTGCAGACTCTGTAGCTTATCTAGCTCATTGTTAATGACCAGTGAAACTCAACAAAAGACAACAAATGAAAAGCAACATGTTTACATGTGTATTACATCATTGTTCCTTAGGTGTCCTGACTCAAAACTAGCAAGAGAAGACTGCCTTCAAATACTTCAAATGTTTTCCCCGAGTGTCACCTTTGGTAACAGTTCTCTTTCTGCGCTGACAGAAACCTGGTGCCACCTGAGACACGATCCACAGGACACTTCTCACGTTTCCACCAGACCGTGCAGTGCCAGGCTGGGTGCTCAGTACCATACTGCAAACCAGTTCCTAGGCCTGGACCACAGCCTCCACAGGAGAGGAGGAAAGCAGTACTTTTTTCCTGCTCTAGGCCAAACAGTGACAACATTTCTCTAAATCCCCCCATCTATCTGTGCTTTTGTCTTCTAACATTCTTAGCAGTGAAATACTCAACAATACCTGCCCGGCTGCTTCACATCTTCCCTTGCCCACCCCCGAGTGATTTAGAATTCACCGAGCGTGGCCAGGAGATTGGGCTGGCTAATGGAGTCATTTGAAAGTGATTCCTCTAGGCTGCTTTTCTTCCTTAAACATACTGTTCAAGCCTGAAGCGTTTATGCAGCGAGCTTCTTGCATTAAGAAATATAAAAAAGGAAATAACATAAAAGCGAAATGTGGAGTAATAATGTCATCAAAACAAAATGGAAAGTACATCAGGGACAAAGACTCATGAATTCTTAGCTTCAAAGCCTGAAGAACCAGGCTGGAGGATTTAAGGAACCACCGTGCATGCCAAGTGCCAGCCTTGGTAGCGAGCCCTCGGGACGAGAGCTTACTGCAGAACTACACTCATACGAACTTTCCTATTCACTAGAATTACCTGGGGGGCTTTAAAAAAATACAGATGCCGGCTGGGCGCGGTGGCTCTCGCCTGTAATCCCAGCACTTTGGGAGGCTGAGGCGGGCGAATCACCTGAGTTCAGGAGTTTGAGACCAGCCTGGCCAACCTGGTGAAACCCCATCTCTACTAAAAATACAAAAAATTAGCCGGGCATGGTGGCAGACGCCTGTAATCCCAGCTTCTCAGGAGGCTGAAGCAGGAGAATCACTTGAACCCAGGAGGTAGAGGTTGCAGTGAGCCGAGATCGCGCCATTGGACTCCAGTCTGGGCAACAAGAGCGAAACACCATCTCAAAAAAATATATATATATACGGATGCCTCAGACATAAACTGGAGTGCTTCCTACCCTTCCTACAGTGGAGCATGGTGCGCCACCTGAAACCTGGTGGACATATGCAAGAGAAGAACCTACATTTAAGAAGTGCTTTCCCTGGCTGGGCGCGGTGGCTCACGCCTGTAATCCCAGCACTCTGGGAGGCCAAGGTGGGTGGATCACAAGGTCAGGAGATCGAGACCATCCTGGCTAACACGGTGAAACCCCGTCCCTACTAAAAATACAAAAAATTAGCCGGGTGTGGTGGTGGGCGCCTGTAGTCCCAGCCACTCGGGAGGCTGAGGCAGGAGAATGGCGTGAACCCGGGAGGCGGAGCTTGCAGTGAGCGGAGATCGCGGCACTGCACTCCAGCCTGGGCGACAGAGCGAGGCTCCGTCTCAAAAAATAAATATACAAAAATTAGCCAGGCATGGTGGTGTGCGCCTGTAGTCCCAGCTACTCTGGAAGCTGAGGGAGGAGAATCACTTGAACCCAGGAGGTGGAGGTTGCAATGAGCTGAGATTGTGCCACTGCACTCCAGCCTGGGTGACAGAGCAAGACTCTGTCTCAAAAGAAAAAAAAAGAAAAAGAAATGCTTTCCTGCTACGCACGGTGGCTCACACCTATAATCTCAGCACTTTGACAGGCCGAGGCGGGTGGATCACTTGAGGTCAGGAGTTCAAGACCAGCCTGGCCAATATGGTGAAACCCCGTCTCTACTAAAAATACAAAAATTAGTCGGGCGTGGTGGCGGGCGCCTCTAATCCCAGCTACTCAGGAGGCTAAGGCAGGAGAATAAATTGAACCCGGGAGGCAGGGGTTACAGTGAGCTGAGATCACTCCAGCCTGGGCCTGGGCGACAGAGCAAGACTCCATCTCTCTTTTTTTGTTTTGAGACGGAGTCTCGTTCTGTCGCCCAGGCTGGAGTACAGTGGTGTGATCTCGGCTCACTGCAAGCTCCGCCCCCCGGGTTCACACCATTCTCCTGCCTCAGCCTCCTGAGTAGCTGGGACTACAGGTGCCCGCCACCACGCCCGGCTCATTTTTTTTTTTGTATTTTTAGTAGGGACGGGGTTTCACCGTGTTAGCTAGGATGGTCTCGATCTCCTGACCTCGTGATCCACCCGCCTCAGCCTCCCAAAATGCTGGGATTACAGGCCTGAGCCACCGCGCCCGGCCAACTCCATCTCTTAAAAATAAAAGAATTGCTTTCCCTTCCCCAAATGCAAACCTCTCCATTTCAAGAACATAAACAGTCTCCCAGGTTCCTCCTGCTGAAAGATACTGCTCTTGCCCTGCCGCCCTCGCCCCAGGAAAGTGCCTATAGTCCATTCAGATGAATACAAGAAGCCCAGGAAAGGAAGAAGGGCAAAAGCAACACTGAGAACCTCTTTTGATACCCAAGAAAAAACTTTGTTCCAGCTGGAAATCCACCACCTGAAGGCCACCAGTGTATACGCACGTACTCAGGCAGAGGAACTGGTATCTGGGATGGGCTGTGAGGAATTCTTCGCTGAGTCTGTTTTTTTCCGGATCCTTATGTCCACCAGCCTGTTTCCACTCATTTCCAAAAGCTTTTCGGTAGTCAAGCTCAGCTCTCCGCCTCTCCTCGGGGAGAATCTATGTTCATGTGACATAAAAACAAGCCTATTACAAAGCTTTTTTCTAACATGTCCTTTGCGTTTTGCACCTTGTCCTTCCTCCATAGCACATGCAGAAAATAATCAAATTGAGAGGGACAAGATCTAGTTTTCACCCTTCTTTTTAACATTGACAGAACTCAGGGGTTTATTAGAAAAGAAAAAAGAATTTCAGTTTTACACTCTTTTTTTTTTTAATTTGAGATGGAGTCTCGCTGTGTCGCCCAGGCTAGAGTGCAGTGGCATGATCTCAGCTCACTGCAACCTCCACCTCCCAGATTCAAGTGATTCTCCTGCCTCAGCCTCTGGAATAGCTGGGATTACAGGTGCATGCCACAATGCCTGGCTAATTTTTTTGTATTTTTAGTAGAGACGGGGTTTCGCCGTGTTAGCCAGGATGGTCTCGATCTCCTGACCTCATGATCTGCCAACCTCGGCCTCCCAAAGTGCTGGGATTACAGGTGTCAGCCACCGTGCCTGGCCTACACTTTTAATTCATGCGAGTACTTGCGCATAGGCCAGTTTCAGGACTACACCAGGTACCCTGGGTCGCCTCCCCCAGGTCTGCCTGGAGGCGCCTGCTCTGGTGGAGCTGACTGACTCCCAGTGAATGCACAAAAGTGCTGGCAAGGACAAGGCATGGACTTCCCACTTTTATGGGGAAGAGTGGCTGAGAAGGGGAGGAGAAAGCAGCTCTGTGGTCTGTGTTCTTTCTGCCTACATTCCCTGAAAACATGGAGACGGTGCCTGGTGTGCCTCAAATGATACTGCACTGATCTAAGTGGAGGACTCTCTCCTGAGGAGCTGGAAAAGAACCACTATTATGAAACTGCACAAGGCTAATCTTTACCATTCCAAGGAAAGCTACATCTCACCCCCTTTACAATATTCAAAAATAATTTTTTTACTTTTTTTTTTTTTTTTAAATTAAGACAGGGTCTCACTCCATTGCCCAGGCTGGAGTGCAGTGGCATGTTCATGGCTCACTGCAGCCTTGGCCTCCCGGGCTCAGGTGATTCTCCCACTTCAGCCTCCTGAGTAGCTGGGACTACAAGCACTTACAGGCGCGTGCCACCATGCAGCTAATTTTTGTATTTTTTGTAGAGATGGGGTTTCACAAGATTGCCCAGGCTGGTCTCAAACTCCTGGACTGCAGCGATCAGCCTGCCCCAGCCTCCCAAAGTGCTGGGATTACAGGTGTGAGCCACGGCGCCTGGCCTAAAATCATTTATTTTCTAGTCTAAAAAATATCTAGTCATGACGCCAGTGCTCACCTCACATTTGTTCAGCGTCTTCAGCTGGCCAATGCTGGCGATAATGAGTAGTCGCGCCGTCTCTGCTTCTTTGTCCTCTTTGGTCAGGGGGTTTCTTAGGCAGGACAAAGCCCGTAGACTTGGTAACTTCTCTAGCTCATTGAAAAACGACCACTGAAACACAGCAAAAGGAAATAAATGAAAAGCGGTACGTTCATGCCACTTTTGCAGAAGTTTGAACCAGCAACAGGAAAGCATGTCCCTAGTTCTAATCTGAGGCAGGGAATTTCATCATGCACTAAGCAATCCCCTCTAGAAAGACCACATACTTTTACTGTTGTTTTTTGTTTTGTTTTGTTTTGTTTTTTGAGATGGAGTTTCGCTCGTTTCCCAGGCTGGAGAGCAACGGCGCGATCTCGGCTCATCACAACCTCCGCCTCCTGAGTTCAGGCGATTCTCCTGCCTCAGCCTCCCGAGTAGCTGGGATTACAGGCATGCGCCACCACGCCCGGTTAATTTTGCGATTTTTTTTTTTTTTTAGTAGAGATGGGGTTTCACCATGTTGGTCAGGCTGGTCTCGAACTCCCGACCTCAGGTGATCCGCCCGCCTCGACCTCCCAAAGTGCTGGGATTACAGGCTTGAGCCACCACACCCGGCCCCTTTTACTCTATTAATGTGCCATTTAAGTGTGAAGTCCACTTAAGTGTGAAGTGAACTAATTTCTTTCTTAATATTTTTGGCTTCTTATGAGGAGTTTCACTCTGAGGAGGTATTTCTCTTTCGATTTAAATTTCTTTTTACTTTTTTGGTAGAAGGAACCTCCAAACTCTGCCATGAGAGTGGAAAGAGGCAACAGTGTGCTGGGCATACTCCGAGCAGCTCTTACTTGTGATATCTGATTGTCGTTTACTACCAGGTACTTCAAGGATGGGAACATGGACGTTTTGCACCCTATAAAAAGAGGAATGAAGTTACACAGTAGAAGTGAAAGTAGCTGAAGTATAGTGTGGGGGGGCAGTGGGGAACTTTACTAATCTTATATACCAATTCCAGCATCCGGAAAATGTAGAGAAGAAATTCCAGTGTCAGAGAGGATTAATTGTTCTAACCTGAAATTCAAAATGTACAATTTGATTACACAGAACAATGTAAAATGCTATGGGGTATCAACCAGACTCGGTTTGTAAATTTTTTTCCTACACCCTGGGTTTTTAATCCCATGTAAAATACTTAGAAACCATAAAGTCCAACTTAGGACATGCAAAGTGAACTCTTTATCCTGTATTCTAATGACTCCATAGTCACCTAATGGTTCTTGAGTACCTACTGCTATGTCAGGTGCTAAATGCGTCTCAGAGGAAAGAGACACGGTCTACTGCCCGGAGTTTAATGAATGAAGACTTTCCGCATTATCACCAGGGTCAAATTATTCATTCTTCAAATTATCTGGTACAGACATAGTCCACATTATACAGGGTTCACAAGTAAATTTTCTAAATGAATTCAAATGAAAATTTCCCAAAGGGAATTACTCAATTTAGAAATTCCATCATTGTTACCACGTTTCTATTGAGAAAGCATACATAGCATATGAAAACTGCTTCACTAAGAATTGACTGAACACTATTGTATCAGGCATTTAGGGGCAAATTACCTGGGCAGGTGGGCTATCAGATACAGCTGATTTTCATCAATTAATTGATTAGAGGAAAGATCTAATAACTTGACTGTCTGGAGAACATCTGTTGGCCTGTATGGAAAATAAAATTTTTTCACCGTGAATTTATCTCTTAATTGTTTTCAAAGATACAGCCTTAAAATCCCTGCATTTGGTGCGATGGAGGGCTGGGGATAAGAAGCAAGTAAATATGACTGTAAAGGGGCAACCTGAGTGGTCCCTGTGGTGATGCACATATTCCTGCCGGTATCAGTGTCACACCTAGCCTGTGATCCTATATCATAGTTTTGCAACTTGTTACCAATGGGGGAACCTGGGTCATGGGTACAAGTGATCTCTGTGTATCATTTCTTATAAAACTTCATGTGAATATATGATTATCTCAAAATAAAAAAATTTAATTTAAAAAACCTGCAGGCCAGGCACGGTGGCTCACACCTGTAATCCCAGCACTTCGGGAGGCCGAGGCGGGTGGATCATCTGAGGTCAGGAGTTCAAGACCAGCCGGGCCAACATGGTGAAACCCCGTCTCTACTAAAAATACAAAAATTAGCCAGGCATGGTGGCACGTGCCTGTAGTCCCAGCTACATGGGAGGCTGAGGCAGGAGAATCACTTGAACCAGGGAGGTGGAGGTTGCAGTGAGCCGAGATGGTGCCATTGCACTCTAGCCTGGGTGACAAGAATGAAACTCTATCTCAAAAAAAAAACAAAACAAAAAACCTGCATTTGCCTACATAATGAAACCCTTCTGTAAACGAAAATCTTTAAGATTCTGAATCCTTTAATTCAGAATCTGTTGTAAATTTTCCCACAGTTAGGTTAATTTTACATAGTAATTTAATATTATTAATTTAAAAAGGAGATGAGGCAACAATATATTTCAGAGAACAAAGTTTTACATGTACTTTGGTACAATGACCTTAAACAGATGATGCTAATGAAAAATACATTATTTAATCCTTATAGCATATCCTACAGAACTTCCATTTAGAAACAGCAAGTTGGCCAGGCACAGTGGCTCACAAGGTCAGGAGTTCGAGACCAGCCTGGCCAAGATGGTGAAACCCCGTAAAAGATGGTGAAACCCCGTCTCTACTAAAAATAAAGAAAATTAGCCGGGCATGGTGGCAGGCACCTATAATCCCAGCTACTCGGGAGGCTGAGGCAGAAGAATCGCTTGAACTCAGGAGGCGGAGGTTACAGTGAGCCAAGATCGCCACTGCACTCCAGCCTGGGCGACAGAGTGAGACTCTGTCTCAAAAAAAGAAAAAGAAAAAAAAGAAACAGCAAGTTAATACACTGATGCAAAACTAATATAACTCATGTCTTCACAAATATTTAATTCTGATGAGTTTCCTTTGATTAGAACCAATTAGTGAAATTCTAATTTGTGAAGGCAATGAATAATAAGCATTTTTCCTAATTCTTGTTTGCAAATCCTTCTAAAAATTAAGGTTAGATATAATTGAGACCATTTATTTACTCAGAATGATGATTAAATGGGGATAGATGCATTTAAGTAAGTGCTAGTTACCTTTCGGAAATGAAAATGTTGTTAGACTCAAGGTAGAGTTCCTCCAGGCCTGGGCACCCCGCGACACACCGCAGCACCTGGAAGAGAAACTCGGTTCAGGCTCAGGCGGCCTCTGCTGGCTGTTTCTTCCCGGGTGTTCATAGGAACCACCACAAGAATTCAGCTCAGTTACTGTTTCAGCAAACAAGTGCCTCACGGACAGTTCATAAGACTGTTTCAGGCCTGGAATAGTGGTGGGGGGTGATAAATAAAATGTTAAGGGGGTGCATTTTAATGCTGTGGGAGCACACACTGTGGGCACTTTGAGGCCTTGGAGGTACGTGTCAATGCATGGTTTAGGTAAAGCAGCTACGAGGTGGAACAGGAGATACTAACTGCACATATTATTATTTGATAGAATTTGCTTAACCAAAATAAGTAAATTGATGTTACACACCTTTCCTCAATTCTAAATGCCAATCTGGGTTTGTAAAGGATATGCTAATTTTTCATATCCTTTCATAAATTTCTCAACAATTATTTCTTCTTTCATTATTTTTTTAATTATACATTTTTTAAAGTTTTCATTATATATTTATGACAAATATTCTACATCCATGATTCTCTCCAATCAAAAGTTCTTTGAGATCGGGCACAGTGAGTTCATGCCTGTAATCCCAGCACTTTGGGAGGCCAAGGCAGGTGGATCACTTGAGGTCAGGAGTTGGAGACCAGCCTGGCCAACATGATGAAACCCATTACCACTAAAAATACAAAAATGGCCGGGTATGGTTGCACACGCCTGTAATCCCAGCACTTTGGGAGGCTGAGGCAGACAGAATGCTTGAGGTCGGGAGTTTGAGAACAGCCTGGCCAACGTGGTGAAAACCCATCTCTACTAAAAATACAAAAAATTAGCCAGGCGTGGTAGTGCACGTCTGTAATCCCAGCTACTTGGGAGGCTGACGCAGGAGAATCATTTTGGCCCAGGAGGCAGAGGTTGCAGTGAGCCAATATCACACCACTGCACTCCAGCCTAGGCAACAGAGCAAGACTCCATCTCAAAAACCAAATAGTTGAGATGACGCCCTTGGCCATGGCCAATTAGAGAATGGAATCATCTGACTCACCCATCCTGCAAACAGTCCTGCAGATAGCACAGGTTTTAAACTGGCTGTTAAACCTGCCCGTGACCTCACTGGCCTTGGCCACGTTCATCCGCATGGATGTGTGGTCCTTGGCACTGATGATGCAGTTGCTGGTGGAGCATTTCTGCAGCACGCACAGATCCACGAACTTGCTGGCGTCTTTCTGCATGTCGAGACCGTGCCTGCTGCCACCACACTGCGCATGAGCCTAATTTTTTTTTTTTACAAAAAAAAAAATTACAAAAAATTATTATATATTATATAATTATGTATAATAATATATAATATATATATAGCATCTACAGGATCTCTCTATGTTGCCTAGGTGGGTCTTGAACTCCTGGCCTCAAGTGATTCTCCTGCCTGGGCCTCTCAAAGTGCTGGCTGGAATTATAGGCGAGAGCCACCATGACCAGCCTCACCAACTATTTCTAAATTTTCTCACTGGAACTTTACTGCCATCTCCACCACTTCAATTTCTGTGTGCCCTTCCTAGTTTATTTGGAGGGTGAGATGCGTCTTGCTCTGTCACCCAGGCTGGAGTGCAAAGGTGCAATCCTAGCTCACTGCAGCCTCAAACTCCTGGGCTCAAGTGATCCTCCCACCTCAGCCTCCCAAAGCGCTGGGATTGCAGGTGTGAGCCCCAGTGCCAGTGTCTGGCCCCTTCTTGTCTTCCAGCTACATCTACACCTTGAGAGGGAGTAAGCGCCTCACAGAGGAGGGGCCCTAGGAAAGAGGCTCCATGGCCACGGGCATATTAAGGGCACAAGGGGCCCACCTGTCTCTCACTGAGTGGCCTCTGTGGCACTTCCTGGGTGAACATGGCTGGGAATGTATTTCTACACCCTTGGTTTGAAAGTGGAATGCCCAAGCTGGGCACAGTGGCTCACGCCTGTAATCCCAGCATTTTGGGAGGCTGAGACAGGCAGATCATTTGAGGTCAGGAGTTCAAGACCATCCTGGCCAACATGGTGAAACCCTGTCCCTACTAAAAATACAAAAATAAGCTGGGCATGGTGGCAAGCGCCTGTAATCCCAGCTACTTTGGAGGCTGAGGCTGGAGAATTGCTTGAACCCAGGAGACGGAGGTTGCAGTGAGCCGAGATCATGCCACTGCACTCCAACTTGGGCAACAGAGCGAGACTCTGTCTCAAGAAAAATAAATAAATAAAAATGAAAGTGGGCTGGGCACGGTGGCTCACGCCTGTAATCCCAGGACTTTAGCAGGCCGAGGTGGGTGGATCACCTGAAGTCAGGAGTTCGAGACCAGCCTGACCAACATGGAGAAACTCTGTCTCTACTAAAGATACAAAATTAGCTGGGCATGGTGGTACATGCCTGTAATCCCAGCTACCTGAGAGGCTGACGCGGAAGAATCACTTGAACCTGGGAGGCGGAGGTTGCAGTGAGCCGAGATTGCGCCACTGCACTCCACCTTGGGCAACAGAGTGAGACTCTGTCTCAAGAAAAATAAATAAATAAAAATGAAAGTGGGCTGGGCACGGTGGCTTACACCTCTAATCCCAGCACTTTGGGAGGCCGAGGCGGGCAAATCACTTGAGGTCAGGAGTTCGAGACCAGCCTGACCAACATGGAGAAACCATGTCTCTACTAAAAATGCAAAATTAGCTGGGTGTGATGGCACATGCCTGTAATCCCAGCTACTTGGGAGGCTGAGGTGGGAGAATCGCTTGAACCTGGGAGGCAAAGGTTGCAGTGAGCCAAGGTTGCACCATTGCACTCTAGCCTGGGCAACAAGAGTAAAACTCCGTCTCAAAAAAAAAAAAAAAGAAAGTGGAATGCTCTGGGTGTGTGAAGTCAGTACACCTCAGACAGGAAATAGTACTGCCAGATATAAGTCCCAAATGCTGCTGTGCCAAGGACCCACAAGTCTACTTTTGAGCCCGGCTGTATAAAATGAACAGTGGATTCCAAGAGCCGAACTTCTAACAAGAAAAGTATGTGAGAACCTTTCTGCTGCTTGGCTTCTGTTCTAAAAAAAACTAACAGGAAAACTCAGGAAGCTAGTCAATAGCCAACACTACGGCTTTTTGAAGCTCAGCACATACTGGTTCATACCATAACGGAGCGCCACTGTTTATAAAGGCACCAGAACAAGTCAAAATGAGCTGAGATAGGACATGGATTTCCAGATGCAAAACTCAACTATGATGCTCTTTTAACTCGTTTTTATAAGGCACTTTAATGAATCTTGTTACCTATTAATAGATACTGGGATGATTTAAATGAAGCCACAGTTGTACTATTAAACTGTACTAACAATTCCCTATTAAACCAAACATTTTTAATTGCTTATTAATGTGTAATAAAACAAAGAAATATGATTACCTCAGCCCACGTTATTCCTGTTTGATTGAGGACTAAAACCTTCAGTACAGAAAGCGTTCCAGTTAATACTGAACCGGAGGGAAATTTTAGTTTATTTTCACTGTGTAGAAAAAAAAGATACAATGTACTTATTTCTATACAGTAAACCCAACTGAAATAGTTGTTGAAAGCAACAATCTGGGTTTTAATCTAAGGGGTTTGATTTGTTTCAATCTTAAAATGGAATTATATTTTAAAAATCACTTTTTTAATGATTCAAGTGAATCAAGACTACCTAATTTTTAACATTTACAACATACAACTTTTTGGTATCAGCTGTGTAAAGATGCTTTCACAGGATTAGGGCACCTGTATGCGGCTGTAGGCTTCCTAAACCCAAAACTCAGGCATTTGCAAGGTGAGCTTCCAGCTTCACAAGATATGGCTCTGGATACTGCAAAACAAAGTCCCGTTCTCCAGAGTCTTACTGATACACTGAATCATGGGCTAGAATTTTGCTTCTCTAAACATAGAGTCTGCCCTTTGGCTATGAGGATGGATGAAATTATTGCCCCTTAAATTATTTCTCAAAACCCTAATCTCAGAAAGTATTCAATCCTGACAGTCACTTTGAAAGACGATACTATTAAAAAACACAAGCCCGTATTTCCAGAAGATGAGACACCATGGGTTGAATTGCCCCCGTTTGCTCTATTTGGGAGCACAACTCATTCAGGCCTGTCTACCGGCTTTACTGTACATGTCTATGCAAAAATGGTTCAAGAATGAAAGGGGAAACCTGTGCTGGGCACGGTAGCTCACGCCTGTAATCCCAGCACTTTGGGAGGCCAAGGCAGATGGATCACCTGAGGTCAGGAGTTCAAGACTAGCCTGGCCAACATGATGAAACCCCGTCTCTACTAAAAATATAAAAATTAGCCGGGTGTGGTGGTAGGCACCTCTAGTCCCAGCTACTTGGGAGGCTGAGGCAGGAGAATCACTTGAATCTGGGAGGCAAAGGTTGCAGTGAGCCAAGATCATACCACTGTACTCCAGCCTGGGCAACAGAGTGAGACTCTGCCTCAAAAAAAAAAAAAATGGAGGAAGCCTGGCTAAGCCCTTGGAAAGTTAGGTTCTGAGATTAAAACAAATTAAATATTCAGGAAGGCCTAGAAAAGTGTGACATTAGTAAAATAGGTAGATTAATGAAAAATCCTTATCAAAACAGAATTAAACAGTATCCCAATGAAATTACTCATTCCTACAGCAATTAAACGCTAGAAGTTTTCAAATAAACAAGCAGTTTTAATAATATCACCTCTCCTCTCCTACTCCCCAATTAAATATCACCTCCCCCAACCTTCCATCTTTACGGTCAGGCTAAAAATAAGATCTTGCAGTTCAATGAAAATCTAACTCATCCCCACCTGGTAAAAGTTAAAACACATTCCTTATTCATGAATCACCTCATGTGACCGTTTGCAAGGCTATAATAATCAATGTGCCCTTAAAGATTAAAGTGTCCTTAAAGAGGCGGGACATGGTGGCTCACACCTGTAATTCCAGCACTTTGGGAGGCCGAGGTGGGTGGAAAACCTGAGGTCAGGAGTTCAAGAACAGCCTGGCCAACATGGCGAAACCCTGCATCTACTAAAAATACAAAAAGTAGCTGGCAGTGGTGGTGGGCACCCATAGTCCCAGCTACTCAGGAGACTGAGGCAGGAGAATCCCTTGAACCCGGGAAGGGGAAGCTGCAGTGAGCCGAGATCGCGCCATTGCACTCCAGCCTGGGCGACAAGAGTGAGACTCTGTCTCAAAAAAAAAAAAAAAAATATATATATATATATATACACACATACATATATACATACATACATAAGGCTGGGCACAGTGGCTCACACTGTAATCCCAGCACTTTGGGAGGCTGATGTGGGCGGATCACAAGGTCAAGAGATTGAGACTATCCTAGCCAACATAGTGAAACCCCGTCTCTAGTAAAAACACAAAAATTAGTTGGGCGTGGTGGCTCGTGCCTGTAGTCCCAGCTACTCAGGAGGCTGAGGCAGCAGAATCGCTCAAACCCGGGAGGCAGAGGTTGCAGTGAGCCAAGATCACGCCACTGCACTCCAGCCTGGCGACAGGGCGAGACACTGTCTCAAATAAATAAATAAATAAATAAATAAATAAATAAATAAAGTGTCCTTAAAGATTAAATGTGTCCTTAAAGTTAAAGTTAGATAAATTCAAGTAAACCAAAATCTGGCTGTATAAAAATGTCTACTAGCGAAGCAGCTGCGTTGTCTGGGGTATACACCTGGTATTCCTCTTCTCCCACCAGGAAAATTTAGGACACAGACACATGAGGAGTTTAGGAGCAGAGGTTTAAAAGGCAAGAGAAAGAAGATGGAAAACAGCTCTCTCTCTAGTAAGAGAGAGGGGACTTCCAAGAAGAAAAAGGCAAGCTGGCAGCAGATGCAGATTTTTTGTTTGTTTGTTTGTTTTCTGAGATGGAGTCTCGCTCTGTCGCCCAGGCTGGAGTGCAGTGGCACAATCTCGGCTCACTGCAAGCTCCGCCTCCCAGGTTCATGCCATTCTCCTGCCTCAGCCTCCCGAGGAGCTGGGACTACAGGTGCCCACCACCACGCCCGGCTAATTTTTTGTATTTTTAGTAGAGATGGGGTTTCACTTTGTTAGCTATGATGGTCTCGATCTCCTGACCTCATGATCCGCCCGCCTCAGCCTCCCAAAGTGTTGGGATTCCAGGCGTGAGCCACTGCGCCTGGCCCTTGTTTGTTTTTTTGACGGAGTCTTGCTCTATCACCCAGGCTGGAGTGCAATGGCACGATCTCAGCTCACTGCAACCTCTGCCTCCCGGGTTCAAGCAATTATCTTGTCTCAGCCTCCTGAGTAGCTGGGACTACAGTTGCATGCCACCACGCCCAGCTAATTTTGTATTTTTAGTAGAGACGGGGTTTCTCCATGTTGGTCAGGCTGGTCTCAAACTCCTTACCTCAGGTGATCCGCCTGCCTCAGACTCCCAAAATGCTGGGATTACAGGAGTGAGCCACTGCACCCGGCCCAGATGCACAGATTTTAGTTTGACTTGAGGAGGCAGTGTCTGATTTACTTAATGCTCACAGATTGGTTCAATCAGGCATGACATTTACACAGCCAGGAAAGGCTGGCCACCCCACCCTAATCTTACTATGTAAATGAAATTTCCCTTTGGCTGGCACCATCTTGTCTGCTCCTTACTGTACACGTGGCTGGAAAAGAGAAGGGAAGATGGAGCTGCCATCTTGAACCTGATTGGCTCAACTGTCTGCATCTATGTCTGCAGCTCGATTTTACAGGCTGCTTGTGTTAGAAAGGAAAATAATTTGGGGCTGCTTTTCATTAAAAGGAAAACCTTACTGAGGACTTCCATACCCTCACTATCAGCCTGAGTAATTCCTTCTTAACTCCTGTATCATCAGGTGGCAGCCTTAACCCTTCCGGCTCCCTACCTCTTTCCACAGAGATGCTGTGAGGAAGCAAGGAGAGATGAGCTTTATTGTTAATGAAGATTCAGCAACCAAGAGTTCATACCTGACATTAAGGACTTCCAGGTGTCTGAGCTGATCAGCAATGTGTATCACTTCATCCCATGATGACAACAGGTTTTTTGACAAATCTACCTTTCTGATATCTAAAAGCACATGTTAAGAAACAGTAATTTCAAAAGATTCACAAAAGACATAAAAGGAGTTACTCTTAATTCCAGAGCATGAGCGTTTTAACTTTTCATTTTATACCCTCTAGTCAGCTTCAAATTTTTTCAGGAGTACATAATATTTTTAAGTTATCCAAAACTTCACTGAGAAACGAAAAAGTTCATTGTGAGGCCAGGCGCGGTGGCTCACGCCTGTAATCCCGGCACTTTGGGATGCCAAGGTCGGGGGAATCACTTGAGGTCAGGAGTTCAAGACCAGCCTGGCCCACATGGCAAAACCCCATTCTACTAAAAATACAGAAATTAACCAGGTGTGGTGGCACGCGCTCGTAATTCCAGCTACTCAGGAGGTTAAGGCAAGAGAAACTCTAGAGCCCGGGAGGCGGAGGTTGCAGTGAGTGGAGACTGCGCCACTGCACTCCAGCCTGGGTGACAGAGTGAGACTGTCTCAAAAAACTAAAAATAAATTAAAAGTTCATTGTTATATACTCAAAACTTGAGACAAACATCTACAATCAAATGACAAAGAACCAAATGTCATAACGCTAAACCATCCTAGCACTATCCAACAAAAGGAGAGGGGAAAAGCAGTGAGGGTAACTTTGATTTCTGAAGCACCTAAGGTATACACACAAGCCTCACCCCAGCACATGACCTTCTATGGGGCACCATTACCATAGGAATCTCCAGATAAATAGCATCTACAGGGCAGAGAAGAGGGGTCAACTTGGGACACATGTGCAAAAGCGCATGACTTAGGAATTGAGAGGGTGTCCGGTAGCCTGGAAGCAGTTGTAACAGTATCACTCCAACTGCCCCTGATACAGGGATTCAGAGAGGATAACACAGTGGGGCTGGAAAAGCAAAGCCGACAGACAACACAAGTGGAGGTGAGGGGCTAGGTGCAGGTGCAGCACCATCAGGAAGGGGCACAGCTTAGCCAGGTCCCCGCAGAGAAAGACAGAGGAGCTTGCAGCAGGACCGGGCCAGCTACTGGAGGAGCTACACTCTCATCTAATATGTGTATGTGTGGAAATTATTCAATGCACTCGTCTATTCTGCAAGTAATTATTTAGGGCCAGGAGCATCGCAGTGAGCAAAGCAGAGTGTCATCGGGGAGAGACGATCACGACACAGGGGCCTCAACAGTGTGTCACAGGCAGGCCTGTCTGTGCTCAGGGACAGAGCAGGGCATGCAGGAAAGGTGTGTGGCTGTTCTATATGCAGTGCCCAGGGAAGACCACCTCCTCTAAGAGGGCATCTGAGCAGAGAGCTGAGGGAAATGGGGGAACGCCATCTGGGAGAGGAGCACATGGCGGAGGAGTGACAAGAGCAAAAGGCCCTGGGGTGGGAACGAGCTCAGCCTATGACCGGGACCGCCAGCGCCTGTGTGACTCGAGCAGAGGGGCTTGGGGGTACTAGAAACAAGGTCACAAGGAATAAGGGGCCAGGCCACATCACAAAGGGCCTTGCAGGCCACTTCAAAGTCTGTTTGAAACGGACTTTTCAAAGTTTGCTTGAAACGGGAGATATTGGAGGCTTTGAAACAGCGACAGGTGACCTGGGTCCTTTAAAAATCACTCTGCTTTGACTTTGATCTATATTATGTCAAAAAACAAAACAACAACAACAAAAAAATCCAGTAAAAGTCACTGTGCTTCTGAGTTGAGCACAATTGCAGGGAAATAAAGGAGGGCCGGGAGTCTCCAGGAGGCCGGAGCAAACCAGCAGCATGAGAGGGCAGAACATGTCAGAGGGGGCGTCTGACTCTGGAAGTGGGGCTCACAGGATTTGCCAATGGATTTAGGTGTGGGGCATGGGAGAAAGGGAGTGTCAAGGACAACTCCAAGATCTGTGGCCTGTGCAAATGGAACTGTCATTTATTAAGAGGGAAAAGACTACAGGATGAGCAGGCGTGGGTCTTAGTTTTGGACATGCTAAATCTATGATGGCTATGAGACATCCAGACAGAGGTATCAAAGCTGCAGCTGGAGAGACAGATGTGGAAGAGGGCAGGCCGTGGAGGAGTGCCAGCCACACCCCAGAAGGTCTCTCAAGAAGCCCAGGGCTCCCAAGTCTGAGCCTTGGGGTACACCCAACAGTCTGCAACCAGAGAAAGGTCCCACAGAAGCGACTGAGGAGTGGCCAGCGACAGAAGAAGAGCTCCAAGATCCAGGCCAGGCGCGGCGGCTCACGCCTGTAATCCCAGCACTTTGAGAGGCCAAAGTGGGCGGATCACCTGAGGTCAGGAGTTCGAGACCAGCCTGGCCAACACGGTGAAACCCTGTCTCTACTAAAGATACAAAAATTGGACCGGGAACTGTGGCTCATACCTATAATCCCAGCACGTTGGGTGGCCGAGGCGGGCGGATCACCTGAGGTCGGGGGTTCGAGACCAGCCTGACCAACATGGAGAAACCCCATCCCTACTAAAAATACAAAATTAGCCAGGCATGGTGGCACATGTCTGTAATCCCAGCTACTCGGGAAGCTGAGGCAGGAGAATCGCTTGAACCTGGGAGGCGGAGGTAACAGTGAGCCAAGATCATGCCATTGCACTCCAGCCTGGGCAACAAGAACGAAACTCTATCTCAAAAAAAGAAAAAAAAAAAACAAAAACAAAATCAGCCAAGCGTGGTGGCACGTATCTGTGGTCCCAGCTACTCAGGGGGCTGAGGCAGAAGAATCGCTTGAACCTGGGTGCCAGAAGGTTGCGGTGAGCCAAGATCGCGCCACTGCACTCCAGCCCAGTGAAAGAGCAAGACTCCATCTCCAAAAAAAAAAAAAAAAAAAAGAGCTCTAAGATCCAGTAATAACAACAGCAGCAGTGACAGCCACCACCCGCACTGCTGCTGCCACTGCTAACCAGACCCAGGCACTATGCTGATTGCTGGGTTGTTTTGCTTTCTCATAGCAGAACAAACGGTGGCACAGCAGTCACAGAGCTGTGTCATTGTGTGCAAATGAACAAGTGGGAAGTTACACCCAAGTCATCCTCGATCCAAAATCCATATCATTGCACCCCATAATGCAACAGGGAGTCATCAAACATACATAAAACGTGGAGAAAGTTTCTTTACAAAAACAGTGGCATCACTCCAAAGCATTGGTTAGAAAGGAAATAATTTTAGGCAGGAACCAATTAGGAAGCTCTGCAAGAAGGTCAGGAACAAGGGAAGGACGGCAGAGAAGATGCGAAGAAAGGGATGACTCCATACCCGGTCGCCAGCTACCCATGCCCGAATCCTGCCAGCTGCCTGGACTATTACAGCCCAAGAGCTAACAATGGGGTCTACCCTCGTAAACAGTTGCATTTCAATCGGTAATATGAGTACCTGCAGAATAGCCTCAATTTTGCCGTGGCCGTCGCATCAAATGGAAGGGAAAAGAGTCGGTGCAGGCTGCCGAAAATTCCAGACCGGGCAAACACCCTCCAGGTCCCCTCGCGCTCCTCCTCTGCCCTTGGGCCCACACCTGCATGATGGCTTCTGTAAACTGCTCCTCTGCCCCTCCTCCTCAGCCTCCTCTCGGCTGCCCTAGCTTCCTGACACCGCCTAACACAGGCTCATGCGAGGGGTGCTTTCCCGGCCTCTGGGTGACACTTTGGCCACCCTGTGTTTCCATTAACCCCGCTAAATCGGCTGTTAGGCTGCTGAGGAAGGGTTTAAGTCCAATCACGCTTCCCTCACTGCTGCTTCCCATTATGTAGCCTAGAGTTATTGTTTCTAAGGTCTGTACAGAGCACACAGACCACCTACATCCTGAAATCAACCACGAACAACAGCTGTCAATATGTGGTCGCCCCTCCCACACACACCATTCAAGGAGCCCCCGTGAAAGCACAGGCCAAGCACCTGGGCACAGACTCTCCTCCGCAGGTCATGAGGGAGGAGGAAGCTCATCCCCTCCCCTGGAAGTACCCTCAGATTTGACACACCCGGGTCTGCAGCTCTCCCACTGCCTCGAGTTCTGGTAGAGTAAATAACCTCAAAGACAGACCAACCCAAAAAAGGATGACTGGATTAAGCACCCAAAGCAATACTTCAACTTCTGGCGAGAATTCAATCGGGAGCTGCAAGACATTTATCACTGTATCTGCAAATACCAATCATGACTTGATTATCTTCGTGAAACCTCATTTCTTCGTGTCCTGGGGGACATTTTTCTCCAGAAAAGTGCAGTATAAACAAACAACATGCTGATTCTTCAGGACACTGCTGACAGCTCTGAGCAACCCAACAGCCAGCACTCCCAAACCCATTTACCGCCACATCTGTCCTTTTTTTTGAGACGGAGTCTCGCTCTTGTCGCCCAGGCTGGAGTGCAATGGCGCGATCTCGGCTCACTGCAACCTCTGCCTCCCAGGTTCAAGCGATTCTCCTGCCTCAGCTTCCCAAGTAGCTGGGACTACAGGCGCCCACCACCATGCCTGGCTAATTTTTGTACTTTAGTAGAGATGGGGTTTCACCGCGTTGGCCAGGCTGGTCTCGAACTCCTGACCTTAGGTGATCCACCTGCCTCAGCCTCCCAAAGTGCTGGAATTACAGGCGTGAGCCACCACACCTGGCCCCCCCGTTTTTTGTTTTTTGGTTTTTTTTTTTGAGATGGAGTCCTGCTCTGTCACCCAGGCTAGAGCACAGTGGTGTGATCTCGGCTCACTGCAATCTCTGCCTCCCGGGTTCAAGTGATTATCCTGCCTCAGCCTCCTCCTGAGTAGCTGGGATTAGAGGCGTCCGTAACCATACCCAGTTAATTTTTTGTATTTTTAGTACAGACAAGGTTTCACCATGTTGGCCAGGCTGGTCTTGAACTCCTGACCTCAGGTGATCCACCCGCCTTGGCCTCCCAGAGTGCTGGGATTACAGGCATGAGCCACTGTACACAGCCCGATTACCAATCTTCTGAAATAGTTTAGGAATAGGCCAGGCAGAATGCAGAATGCTCTGACACTGCTGTGGCACTGGCTCCTCAGCAAACTCTTTTCTGCATCCACTTCAATTCCCCTCACTCCAGCTGCCTACTTTTGAAAATGACCTCATATTTGCAGCACGCTGGGGTCAACGGAGGAGGCTGCTCAGGGGCAGAGACTGGCAGAGACAGGCAGAGACCTGTGCAGCTACCACAGGTCCCAACAGACCCCCAGACTGTTTCCCCCAAGGGAAGTGAACCCTCAGACACACAGATGGAGAGATGTCTGATCTAATTTCCTTCACTGCACTGTCGGGGCATTTTGCCAAAGAGAGCTACTTCACCTGGCATCTCTTCACTCAGAAAAAAACTGATCAAAACTGCTATTTTTTGCAAAAGTTATTATGTACAGATCAGACAGACTTAATGAATTGGGGAAAGACCTTTTAAAGTTAAAGAAAGTCTATTTGGTTTCCATGGGAAATTTCTTTCTTTTTTTTTGAAACAGAGTCTCACTCTGTTACCCAGGCTGGAGTGCAATGGCATGACCTCACTCACTGCAACCTCCGCCTCCCGGGTTCAAGCAATTCTCCCTGCCTCAGCCTCCCAAGTAGCTGGGATTACAGGCATGCACCACCATGCCTGGCTAATTTTTGTATTTTTAGTAGAGATGGAGTTTCACCAGGTTGGCCAGGTTGGTCTCAAACTCCTGACCTCAGATGATCCGCCCACCTCGGCCTCCCAAAGTACTGGGATTACAGGCATGAGCCACTGCGCCCAGCCTCCATGGGAAATTTCTTAATAGAAACGGGGTCTCCCAGGCTGAAGTACAGTGGCATGATCATGGCTCATCACAGCCTCAAACTCCTGGGCTCAAGCAGTCCTCCCACCTCAGCCTCCCGAGTAGCTGAGATGACAGGCACATGCCACCACACCCAGTTTTGTTTTGCTTTGTTTAATTTTTTATAGAGACAAGGTCTCGCAATGTTGCCAAGGCTGGTCTCAAACAGTCCTCCAGTCTCAGCCTCCCAATGCTGAGATTACCATGCTGAGATTACCAGCATGAGCCACCATGCCCATCCTTAAAATTTTCTTTTAACCTACCTCCAACATTTTTGCTTACAGGCAAAAAAGAAATATATGACAAAAATAACACTAATAAGAGCAGGTAGAGAAAAGAGATTCCAAACTTCATAAAGAGCCTCTGTTGGGGTATTATAACAAACTGCATTCAGCTGCATGAAACAGAACCAGAGTCTTTCCCACTAAAAAATAACTGCATGAGGCCAGGTATGTGGCTCACACCTATAATCTCAGCACTTTGGGAGGCCGAGGCAGGGGAATCACCTGAGGTCAGGAGTTCGTGACCAGCCTCGCCAATGTGGCGAAACCCCATCTCTACTAAAAATACAAAAATTAGCCAGACGAGGCCAGGCGTGGTGGCTCACGCCTGTAATTCCAGCACTCTGGGAGGCCAAGGTGGGCGGATGACCAGGTCAAGAGATCAAGACCATCCTGGCCAACATGGTGAAACCCCGTCTCTACCAAAAATACAAAAATTAGCTGGGCGTGGTGGCGGGCGCCTGTAGTCCCAGCTACTTGGGAGGCTGAGGCAGGAGAATTGCTTGAACCCGGGAGGCGGAGGTTGCAGTGAGCTGAGATCACGCCACTGCACTGCAGCCTGGCAACAGAGCGAGACTCCGTCTCAAAAAAAAAAAAAAAAAAAAATTAGCCAGACATGGTGGCGGGCACCTGTAATCCCAGCTACTTGGGAGGCTAGGGCAGAAGAATCACTTGAACCTGGGAGGCAGAAGTTACAGTGAGCTGAGATCACACCACAGCACTCCAGCCTAGGCAACAGAGCAAGACTCCATCTCAAAAAAAAAAAAAAGAACTGCATGAGAAAACAGACCAGGGCTGAAGCAGATTCATCTTAGGTTCCCAGTACACAGTCAGCAGCCCAGGTTCCCTCTCCTCTGCTCTCCCAATCTGTACTGGATGGCTTTCTTCACACTTGTAAGACAGCTGCCAAAGCCCTGGGCTTTCCATCCGCTCAAGGCAGGGGAAGGGTAAAAGCAACAGGCAAAAGGCAGAGGCCAAACAAGTGTGCCCCCTTTCTTTTTTTTTGAGATGAAGTCTTGTTCTGTCTCCAGGCTGAGTGCACTGGCGCAATCTCAGCTCACTGCAACCTCCGCCTAGCGGGTTCAAGCAATTCTCCTGCCTCAGCCTCCTGAGTGGCTGGGACTACAGGCACACGCCACCACACCCGGCTAATTTTTGTATTTTTAGTAGAGACAGGTTTCACCATGTTGGCCAGGATGGTCTCGATCTCCTAACCTCGTGATCCACCTGCCTCAGCCTCCCAAAATGCTAGGATTACAGGCGTGAGCCACTGCGCCTGGCCAAGTGTGCCCCCTTTCAAGGAGCCCGGTGTAGAAACTTCCACCTGAACATGCTGGCAAACTTGCAAGCAAAGGGGTCTGGGAAGGTAAATAATTTATCTGGGCCCCAACTACACCAAGCAAAACTGAACTGCATTAGGAAGGAAGTTGTCAAGACTGGACAATGGGTAGGCAATTAGCAGTCTCTGGCACAGGTATAAAATCCATAGTCAGATTCCAATAACAAGCTCTCGGTGAAAAGGATACTAGGACATGCTTCAGCAACTCCTCCTTTTTCACCAGCACAACTTACTGCACAGTTCCTCAGAGAAACTTCTTGCAACTTGCTCAGCTGACTGCATGAAAAACAGAGTTCACATGGATACATAAGCACGTATGCTATCCACTGGCCCTTTAAAAAATTAAACACATTTCAGACATATAAAAGGGTACCAAAAATAATATACAAATACCAGTAACCACCACCCAAATTAAGAAATAAAGCATTACAAAAAAGAAAAAGAGCACTACAAATATTACAAATGCAACTGAAGTCCTCTGGGGCCCTCTCCAAACACAATTCTCCCTCTACTCCCAGAGGTAAACTTTTCTTTTTGCTTTTTAGCCAGAGTCTCGTTGTGTTGCCCAGGCTGGAGTGCAGTGGCACAATCTAGACTCACTGCGACCTCTCCCTCCCAGGTTCAGGTGATTCTCCTGCCTCAGCCTCCCCAGTAGCTGGGATTACAGGCGCTTGCTACCACACCTGGCTAATTTTTGTGTTTTTAGTAGAGACGGGGTTTCACCATGTTGGCCAGACTGGTCTCGAACTCCTGACCTCAAGTGATCCACCCACCTCCGCCTCCCAAAGTGCCGGGATTACAGGCGTGAGCCACCACGCCCGGCCCTCCCCAGGGCCTTATACTACATTTGGTGTTTATTTAATCTTAAGCATTTCTTAATATTTTTACCATATATTTCCATATCCCTAAACAATTACAGCATTTTTTAATATTCTGAAACTTGATATAAATGGTATTCTACTCCGCAGAGCCTTCTGCACCTGACTTTTTCCTCAACAGTCTATTGTTCAGTGGTGAGATTTCACTACGGTGACACATGGAGCTCCAGGACATTCATCTTCACACCTTACAGCGTTTGTTATATGAACAGACCACAAGGAATGTACATACTCTTCTGCTGACATTTAGATTGTTCCCAACCACGCAGAAGTACATGCTATGGAGTGCTTCTCGCACTCACATGTAAAAGCCTCCCTAAGGTACTTCCTAGAGAGCGCACCCAGCTTCAGCATGACCAGATACTTCCGGCAGCCATTTGTTAAGTGTAGAGAATCTTGTGCTTTCTATTCATGAAAAGAATCCGCATACATAATGTCTAAGAACACAGAATCTGGAACCAGACCACCTGGGTTCAAATCCCAATTCCACCATCTCCTTTGGCTTTGGAGAAGTGAATTAGCACCTCTGTGCCTCAGACTTCACATCTCTAAAAGGCCACGGTATATGCACAAGTTCACAGCAGCATTATTCCTGGTAGTCAAGAGGTGGAAGCAACCCAAGTGTCCATCAACAAATGAAAGGATAAACAAAACGTGGCACACATATACAATGCAATATTGTGCGAACTTAAAAAAAAGGAAGGAAATTCTGACATATGCCGCAATGTGGATGAACCTTGAGTGTATTATGCTAGGTGAAATAAGCCAGTCACAAAAGAACAAATACATGGCCGGGGGCAGTGGCTTATGCCTGTAATCCCAGCACTTTGGGAGGCCAAGGTGGGCGGATCACCTGGGGTCAGGAGTTCGAGACCAGCCTGGCCAACATGGTGAAACCCTGTCTCTACTAAAAAAAATAACAAAAATTAGCCTGGCATAGTGGGGGGCACCTGTAATCCCGACTACTCAGGAGGCTGAGACAGGGGAATCGCTTGAACCCGGGAGGGTGGAGGTTGCAGTGAGCCGAGATCACACCATTGCGCTCCAGCCTGGGTAACAAGAGTGAAACTCTGTCTCAAAACAAAAAACAAGAAACAACAACAAAAAAAAAGAAAGAAAAACCAGGGTACAAAAGGCAGCAGCAGAATTCAAGGTTAGAGGGTCCCAAACTTTCTCAGGCCACACGGTCCTTAGGGTTTCAGTAATTTTTTTCATGGTACTTAGGCCAAAATAAATACCTCACAGTTCCAATTAAGTATGTAGTTAGGGCCAAACAACTTAATCATTACTTATGTCCTGTCAACTCAGTGTCTGCTGGGCACTGCCCAACTTCCCAAACCCTGGAATCAGACTGGACGCCACCAACTCCATTTCCAGTTCCACACTGATTTAAGAGATACTTGCTTTTTTATAAAACAAATATTTCTATTGATGCATGATAGATGTACATAAATACTTGCGTTTTATCGCGGCAATTGCCCAAAAGCCAGCTTTGTAGGCTTATGACATCATTGAAAAGAACTACAGGAATCTCATGAAACAGGCAACTACTTCAAACTGTAGTTTGCACTGTGTCCGACAGATGTCGCTCCTTCCCCCTAAAATTTAAAATAGCCTTCTTTGCCAGGTCAACTTGGCACTAAGCATGAGGACTCAGATCTCAGTCCAAGCATCACTCCAGAGCCAAAGCCATCTCCAAGAGAAACCATACATAATGGATTTTTTAATTTGTTTTTGATTCCTTTATTGAGTAAGTCTCTTCTTAGTGGTACGATCTCAAAGCTGGTCAGCTGGATTTTATTGACGAGATAAGACAATGGCTTAAAGTAGAGGTTTCAACTCCTAACTGACAGCTATCATTAATTGTAGGATCTCATTTGTTATTCACAACAGCACTTATATCTTAGGTTTTATGTTGTAACTGAGGAAACTGAGGCTTAGAAACAATAAGCAGCTATCTCTAACTTCTGTCAGAGCCAAAAGTGCCTTAGCTGGCGGCTGAACCCAGCCTAACTCCAACACTGGCTGCATTCCACCAAGCTGTCTCATAATTTCTGAATTGACTAATCTCCAGCCAACATATGAGATTACTCCAGAATCTCTAAAATTTTACCTTTTCAATCAAGAAAGACACTAGCTAATGATTAAATGCAATGATACTCAAGTAGTAGGGTCATTTACAGAAAAATTCATGAGTTACATAGCTGTTCATAAACTAGGGGACGAAAATCCATTTGCAATTTGTTAATATTCTCAGAAAGAGATTAACCAATTTAAAAAATGCTTCCTTTGGGTAAGAGATATGTAAATATTTGGGGTTTTTTTTTTGGTTTGTGTGTCATTTGAGACAAGGTCTCACTATGTCACCTAGGCTGGAGTGCAGTGGTGCAATCATGTCTCACTGCAGCCTTGACCTTCTGGGTTCAGGTGATCTTCCCACCTCAGCTTCCCAAATAGCTGGGACTATAGGCACGCACCACTACACCCAGCTAATTTTTGCATTTATTTATTTATTTTTTTTGTAGAGACAGGGTTTTGCCATGTTGCCCAGGCTATTTGTATTTTAAATGGGAAAAAATAAAGCAAAGAACTCTAACCCTATGAAGCATGTAGTTCTTTAAATCCAAGTAAATCAGTAGGGTAAACAGTAAAAACTGTTCATGATAGTTACGTCTTTTTTTTCTTTTTTTTTTTTTTTTTTTGAGACAGAGTCTCATTCTGTCACCCAGGCTGGAGTGCAGCGGCATGATCTCGGCTCACTGCAACGTCCACCTCCCAGGTTCAAGCGATTCTCTTGCCTCAGCCTCCCAAGCAGCTGGGACTACAGGTGCGTACCACCACACCCAGCTAATTGTTTGTATTTTTAGTAGAGACAGGGTTTCACCATGTTGGCCAGGCTAGTCTCAAATTCCTGGCCTTAAGTGATCCAACTGCCTCGGCCTCCAAAAGTGCTAAGATGACAAGCATAAGCCACCGCACCCAGCCCGTTTACGATACTTATATCTAAGTGGTGGCATTAATCATGATACTTTTTTGTTCAATCTGTAATTTCTAAATTCTCAACAATAAAGGTATCTTGTTTTATAAAGAACAGTCCATTTGTTCCTTTTTCTAAAACTCTTGATTTATTCTGAGTTTTTTTTAATGGGGGCCATGTATGCTAAAGAGTAGATGTACCAAGAAATGTATTTATTTTCCACATTGTCCCCATGTGCACTTTTATTAATAACAACAATAACAAAAGATAGTAAAGAAATTTACTTTGGACAGAACTATAGCTTAATTCTTTTAGAGACTGAAAGAAAATATATTGCAGGCCTCCAAGTGGCCACAAATTTATCCTCACAGTGGCCACCAGGGGTCCTTACCCAGATGCCTCGTCCAAGTCACTCACCACAGTAGGAAGCTGCAAGGCCTGGCCAGTTCTTGTGCAGCCATGACTGGTTTTGTGTAAATACTATCTTTCTCTCTCTTTGATTCAAGCAGTTCACTGGAATGACTAGAAAGCCTCCTTGTACAAAGTCACAATATACAGTTTCAGAGAAAAGAGAATGTTCTTGTGCAGCAGTTTTAAAGGGCATTATTTTAAGGCCGGGTGCTTAATCCCTGTAATCCCCAGTGCTTTGGGAAGCCAAGGATCACTTGAGCCCAAGAGTTCAAGACCAGCCTGGGCAACATAGCAAGATCCTGTCTGTATAAAAATAAAAATACAATACAATACAATACAATAAAATGCATTAGAGCCCATATCCCAAAATTGTGATTGAGCAGATCTGGGATGGGACCAAGGATGCCGCATGTTCCACAGCTCCCCAGGTGATGAAGATGTGCAGCCCGAGGTGAGAACTACTCCCTACTATTAACAGACGGCACCAGCACGCTCCACGGCATAGGGAACAATTCAGACTGCTGTTTCCATTCCCAACTTACCATCATCACCATGAAATAGAAAAGAACCCAAACGTCAGCCTTGGTTACTTAGTCAACACGAGATAATATGATGTGAATAGTAATAATGGGCCAATAAATATTTCAATTGCAAACTGGATAAATCTACCAATCCTGTGCTAACATAAGAATTTTAATTTCCCTAAATAATTCTTGGATTCCTCAGATTTTGATTCCGTTTCTGTGGAACCATAAACCAGTTTAGGAGCAAAGTCATGAGCATCCATATACAGTCATGGGTATTTCAATTCTGAACCTTAATAAAACCATAAAAGTCAGCTCTGCCGTTATAAACTCCACTTACCTTTGCTGTTTCATAATAGAGTCAAAACCGATAGTCTCCACAGGTTTATTTCCAATTGTAACAATTTGCTCTTTTCTATCTTCCTCTGGTCCATCTTCTAACACATAGCGGTTCTTAATTGCAGTAAGAAAGTCTGTTCCAAAATTTACCTTGTTCGGACGAATAAAGGATCCTCCTGTCGGGTGCCTGGTAAAGAAGAGCAAATGAAACACAGAAAATATTACCCACCAAGAAAGGCCATAAATACAATTTTCTGAAGGTCTTCAAAAATTTCTACATGCTAAAAAATCAAAATTAGCATAAAAGAGAATATCACATACTAAAATAATATATAATCAGTATGATTGACCATAAAGGGTTATGATCTTATGCAAGCATGTTAAATCCCTTTAAATAAACTAACAAGTAATATGAAACTGACAATTCACATTAGAAAAAACAGAAGTATTAAATCCATGGGGGTGGCCAGGCACGGTGGCTCATGACTGTAATCCCAGCACTTTGGGAGGCCAAGGCAGGAGGACCACCTGAGGTCAGGAGTTCAAGACCAGCCTGGCCAACATGGCGAAACCCCCATCTCTACTAAAAATACAAAAATTAGTCCAGCGTGGTGGTGCACACCTGTAGTCCCAGCTACTAGGGAGGCTAAGGCGGGAGAATTGTTTGAACTCGGGAAGTGGAGGTTGCAGTGAGCCAAGATCATGCCACTGCACTCCAGCCTGGGTGACAGAGCAAGACTCCATCTAAAAAAAAAAAAAAAAAAAAAAAATCGTAGGTGGATTATATACAAAATCATTTATTTATTTATTTACTTATTTATTTTTTATTTTGGTAACAGAGAGAGACCTTGTCACTTAAAAAAAAAGAAGAAACAGTGAACTCTATAAATTGATCAAAATTGTATTATAAACACTATTTCAGCTTACGATCATTACTTTTTTTCTTTTTTTTTTTTGAGACAGAATCTCACTCTATTGCCCAGAATGGAGTGCAGTGGCGCAATCTTGACTCACTGCAACCTCCACCTCCTGGGTTCAAGCAGTTCTCCTGCCTCAGCCTCCCAATTAGCTGGGACTACAGGCATGTGCCACTACACCCAGGCTAATTTTTCTATTTTTAGGAGAGACAGGGTTTCACCATGTTGGCCAGGCTGGTCTTGAACTTCTGACCTTAAGTGATCCTCCCGCCTTGACCTCCCAAAGTGCTGGGATTACAGGCGTGAGCCACCACGCCTAATTTTTTTTTTTTTTTTTTAAAGAAAGGGGGTCTCACTCTGTCACCTCGGTGAGAGTGCAGTGACACAACCATAACTAACTGCAGCCTCCAATTCCCAGGGCTCAGGCAATGCTCCCTCTTCAGCCTCCCACGTAGCTAGGACTACAGGTACAAGCAACCATGTCCAGCTAACACTTTTCGTACTTTTTTTAAGAGACAACATCTCACTACGTTGCCCAGGCAACAACCATTAACTCTTAAAGAAAGAAATCAGACCTTTTTAGAAGTCACCATAATTCTGGCCAGGCACAGTAGCTCATGCCTATAATCCCAGCACTTTGGGAGGCTGAAAAGGGCGGATCACCTAAGGTCAGGAGTTCGAGATCAGCCTGACCAACATGAAGAAACCCCATCTCTACTAAAAATACAAAATTAGCCAGGTGTGGTGGCACATGCCTATAATCCCAGCTACTGGGGAGGCTGAGGCAGGAGAATCACTTGAACCCGGGAGGCAGAGGTTGCGGTGAGCCAAGATCATGCCATTGCACTCCAGCCTGGGCAACAAGAGCAAAACTCCATCTCAAAAAAATAATAATAATAATAATTGAAAAGGATGAAAACTAATATTTGTGATAAATTTTGTTAACATAAACATACGTACAGTTTTCTCTAAGATGTGGGTTCACAGTGATGATCAGACTCTAAAAGGAACTTGTGATCCCAAAAAGTTAAAACCAATCCCCAACCTGGGAAGAAGTGGCCAGGAGGGAGTTAGAAACTTAGAGAGTGTGGGCTGGGTGCGGTAGCTCACCCCTATAATCCTAGCATTTTGGGAGGCTGAGGCGGGCAGATCACCTAAAGTCAGGAGTTTGAGATCAGGTGCGGTAGCTCACCCCTATGATCCTAGCATTTTGGGAGGCTGAGGTGGGCAGATCACCTAAAGTCAGGAGTTTGAGACCAGCCTGGTCAACATGGTGAAACCCTGCCTCTATTAAAAATACAAAAATTAGCCAGGCATGGTTGCTGGTACCTGGAGTTTCGCTACTTGGAAGTATGAGGCAAGAGAATTGCTTGAGCCCAGGAGGTGAAGCTTGCAATGAGCTGAGATCACATCATTGCACTCTAGCCTGGGCGACAGATGGAAACGAGGGGAGGGGAAAGGAGGGGAGGGGAAGGGGAGGAGAAGGGAAAGGGATGGGAAGGGAAAGGGATGGGAAGGGAAAGGGATGGGAAGGGAAAGGGATGGGAAGGGAAACTTGGAGAGTGTGGTGTCCTGGAAGCCAATGAAGAAAGTCAACAACCATGTCCAATGCTAAAACCAGGTCAGGTAAGGTAACAGCTGAGGCCTTGCCACTGAATCCAGCAACATGAACATAACCTTTCCTACGAGCAGTCTGGGTGGGGCAATAGGGCAAAGCCCAGCGAGGGTGAGTTCCAAAGACTGGGAGGCAAGTGAGCACAGCCTACCCTTGTCCTGAAGGGGCACAGGGGTCAAAGGAGGGAGATTGCTTAAGACAGGAGAAAATATCCACCTTGTATGTTGATGAAATTAATTCAGTGGAATAGGGGGAAGCTGATTATGCAGGAAATTAAATCCTCTTTTGTAGCAAAATTAAGTCCCATATCTCTCTCATGGCTTATACACACACATCAGTGATTTGTTTCTGTAAGTTAAACATGTCTCTTAAATTACAAGCCTAGTTTACTGGCTGCTCTGCCTATGGAGTAGCCATTCTTTATTATTCCTTTACTTTCTTAATAAACTTGCTTTCACTTTACTCTATGGATTCCCCTCAAATTCTTTCCTTTGCAAGATCCTAGAACCCTCTCTTGGGGCCTGGATCAGGACCCCTTTCTGGTAACATCTTTCTGGCGAACCACAGAAAGGAGGACACTGAGGGGACCCGCCCCCCAACCCAAAGGAAATAGTCTGCAGCACTGACTGGGTGACCTTGGGACACAAGTGGAGAAACTGCTTATTTTACCAAGGCTTCAACTGGAATGGTGTGTGTTCCTTTATGGAATCAAACTTGACTTATAGAGCCAATAAAAGCCGCTTGGGAAAACTGGCCTCACTCCTTGTCTACACAGTTCCTGACCTGTGTCCCACAGACCTATGGAAGACAAGAGAATGATCCCACTTATTCCTGTGAACCAACCAGTGATCTCTGGCTGCTGCTCAGAAGAAACAAGAGTGATGGGTAATGTTATTCTAATTCTGGGCACATATTGGAATTGGCTAGTGACTCCTTATTAGCTTGATTTAAACAATTGCCCAGTTCATGGAAAACTTTCTAATTCAGTTTACTTGGGATAATTTTATTTTTTTTATTTTACTGTTGTGGAATATATTGCTGTGATTATACTCTTTGTGTAGGAATGCAGGATAAGCTTACTAAATGTTTTCTTAAACTGAACACTTATTAATCTTCCAGATATACCTTTTGTCGGAACTCAAGAGTTATGAATGGCCTTCGCCATACCAACGCTTTCGAACTGAGCTCCTCTACCCT
Source organism: Homo sapiens (assembly GCF_000001405.40). Taxonomy (NCBI): domain Eukaryota; kingdom Metazoa; phylum Chordata; class Mammalia; order Primates; family Hominidae; genus Homo; species Homo sapiens. Next base: position 54,478 of record NW_014040927.1, on the reverse strand, counting down.
GAATGCAAGAGACCCAACAGTTAGGCAGGAATATCATCACCCCTGTTCAGCATAAAGAAGTTACAGAAAGTGGATCTTCATCCCTCTGCAGCCCTTAGGATTAAGGGTTCTCTCGTAAAAGGGAGGGGGGAAATATGTCAGAGACGTTTGAACCAGAGCAACTCCATCTTGAATAGGAGCTGGGTAAAATAAGGCTGAGACCTACCAGGCTGCATTCCAGACTGTTAGGCATTCTAAGTCTCAGGATGAACTAGGAGGTCGGTACAAGATACAGGTCATTAAAGACCTTGCTGATGAAACAGCATGCAGTAAAGAAGCTGGCTAAAACCCACCAAAACCAAGATGGAGATGAGAGTGACCTCTGGTCATCCTCACTGCTACACTCCCACCAGCACCATGACAGTTTACAAATGCCATGGCAACGTCAGGAAATTACCCTACATGGTCTTAAAAGGGGAGGCATGAATAATCCACCCCTTGTTTAGCATATACTCAAGAAATAACCATAAAAATGGGCACCCAGCAGTCCTCGGGACTGTTCTGCCTATGGAGTAGCCATTCGTTATTCCTTTATTATAATTTTTTTTGGAGATAGAGTCTCCCTCTGTTGCCCAGGCTGGAGTGCAGTGGGGTGATCTTGGCTCACTGCAACCTCAGCCTCCCGGGTTGAAGCAATTCTCCTGCCTCAGCCTCCCGGGTTGAAGCAATTCTCCTGCCTCAGCCTCCTGAGTAGCTGGGATTACAGGCGTGCAACACCACGCCCGGCTAATTTTTGTTTCTGTTTTTTTTGTTTTTGTTTTTGTTTGAGACAGAGTCTCACTCTGTCACGCAGGCTGGAGTGCAGTGGCACGATCTCGGTTCACTGCAATCTCCAACTCCCGGGTTCACGCCATTCTCCTGCCTCAGCCTCCCAAGTAGCTGGAACTACAAGCACCCGCCACCACGCCTGGCTAATTTTTTGTATTTTTAGTAGAGACGGGGTTTCACTGTGTTAGATAGGATGGTCTCGATCTCCTGACCTCATGATCCACCTGCCTCGGCCTCCCAAAGTGCTGGGATTACAGGCGTGAGCCACTGTACCTGGCCTAATTTTTGTATTTTTACTAGAGAAAAGGTCTCACCATGTTGGCCTGGCTGGTCTCGAACTCTTGACCTCAGGGTATCTACCTGCCTTGGCCTCCCACAGTGCTGGAATTAAAGTGTGAGCCACTATGCCTGGCCCCTTTACTTTCTTAATAAACTTGCTTTCTCCTAAAAAATCCTAGTTAACGTACATGTTCTTAAAACCAGGGGTGGGGATGGGGGAACAGGGATGGAGGCAATACAAACACAAACCAGGGTTCAACTCCTGGCTGCATTACTTACTAGCTATGTGACTTCAGGCAGCTGAATTTATATCTCAACCTAAATTACCTCATCTATAAAGCCCTCTCAAATGAGGTTATTTATAAAGATTAAATAAGCCATCTACTTTATTGCCTGGCACAAGCACTAACTACCCTTTACGTACAGTTACTGCATCTGATATACTACTACTAAAAATAAACTGGCCAGGTGTGGCAGCTCACTTCAGGAAGCCAAGGCTGGAGGATCCCTTGAGGCCAGGAGTTTGAGACCAGCCTGGGCAACACAGCGAGACCCCATCTCTACAAAATATTTAAACATTAGTCAGCCATGGTGGTGTGCACCTATAGTCCCAGCTACTCAGGAGGCTGAGGCAAGAAGATCATTTGAGTCTAGGAGTTCACGGCTCCAGTGAGCTAGGATTGCACCATGCCACTCCAGTCTGGGCAACACAGTGGGACCCTGTCTCAGATAAAAAAAAAAAAAAAAAAAAAAAAAAAAAAAACTCATGCCTATAATCCCAGCACTTTGGGAGGCCGAGGCCGGTGGATCACTTGAGGTCAGGAGTTCAAGACCAGCCTGGCCATCATGGTAAAGCCCTGTCTCTCCTAAAAACACAAAAAATTAGCCGGGCGTGGTGGCAGATGCCTGTAATCCCAGTTACTTGGGAGGCTGAAGCAGGAGAATCACTTGAACCCGGGAGGCAGAGGTTGTGGTGAGTGAGATCACACCACTGCACTCCAGCCTGGGCGACAAAAGCGAAACTATGTCTAAAACAAACAAACAAACAAACAAAAAACCCCACATATTTTGAAATACTGAGATAACTCAAATGCCATACTCTCTAAACCTAACCAATGGCTCTCAAACTTGTTCAGACTAGCTCCTGACCATATCTATACCATCTATAATGACATAATTTCATCATATGAAGTATGTACAATTTACTAGCAGAAAATACAAATATATGCAAGGTAAAGTCACATAAATCTCCAGTATAAAGTTGTTACCTGTTTCAGTTACCTATTGCTGCATAAAAACTCCCCAAAGCACAGTGGCTTAAAACATTAAGGTGATACTTGGTACAGTTCTGTGGGTCGGCTTTGCTGAGCTTTGTTGTTCTGATTCATGTGTTGTCAGCTGTGGTCACCCATGTGACTGCATTCAGTTGGGAGCTGGCTGAGGCTGAAACATCCAAGATGGCTCAACTCAGATTATCGGCACCTGGGTGGAGGTAGCTGGAATGGCTAGGGTCTGGCTGGACCCCTGTTCCCAACAGGGTTAGACTTCTCAGGTGATGACTGGCTTCCAAGAGAGTGAAAACAGAACCTGCAAGGCCTCTTAAAAGCTAATCCCAGAACTACTGATACAACATCATTGCACTTATTTACCAGAGCATGTCATGGGCCAGCCTAGACTCAGAGAAAGAGGAAATAGACTCCACCTCTTCATGGGAGAAGCGGCATACATGAATAAGGATGGGAAGCATTACTGGCAGCCATCTTTGGTGACAATATACCACATCTACCCCTCCCCACCAAAAAACGGATGCCACACTGGGCAAGCTTAGATGTGTCCATCTAGCCACCCAGGCCCAGCAGTTTCACCTCCATGAACAGGACAAGGCTTAAGTTCAGGGGAAGGCAAGGGACACCCTCTGCCCCATGCTAACATGGGCTCAAAGGACAGTGTGGCCTGGCCTGGGTGAGGTAAAGAGCAAGATCTTAGCATCCCCCACCATAGAACTTGCCATCTGGATTCACGCAGGCCACATGTGCACAGCAGAGACAACCACACCTGAACTCCTTCAAGTCACAGATTTCAAAGTGGGGAGGAACAAAACAAATGATTATTTTAAAATTTGTGAGCAAAAACTTCCAAGATGTACGGTATGCAGCAATAGCTAACTGAGACAGATGAGGAAGGTGAATTGTTATTTTCACTAATCTCTTATCAAAATTCAACATTGTCTTTACTCATAAATTCAGGCAACAAACTAGGATAAGATTTACAGCATTTTGTCACCAATGGAAATCAAAGATATTTTCCTATTACTTTACACTTGTGGCAGATATTTTTTAAAAGATCACTTACTCTCATGATTGCTTCAAAATTTAGTAGTTATTAGACCAACTGGTAGATCTTATCATTTAATGTTATTTAATAAAGACATATATTACTGTATCAATTTTTCCCATGCATATTCTCCCACGTATATATCAATTCTTAAAAAATATTCTGATCACTATATTTCAATGTAACTATTTCCTTTGTAATATATTTATTTCCTGCTTTTAAAAGTATTATTTTATGCCTGCCAAAAGGATCCATTGCACAACAAAAGTCCCTGACCTTGAGTATATTCTGAAAAGATGGAGAATCTGAGCTGGGTCTTTAAGGATGAGTAGGAGTTTGGTGAAAAAAAAAAAAGCAGCTGTACTTTTGTCCTACCATAGGCATCAAACAGGATCCTACATAAAAATACCTACAAAAACAAAAAATAGCAGAGCAAAAGCAGTGCTACTGAAAATAAAACATTTATGAAAGCTGTAACATTTTAAATAAGATTTTATGGTTTAAACAGAGGTGCGTTTTCTGAAGGAAATTACGAAGATCACTTCTAGGTGATCTCCTTTTTTTATTTACATTTTTGGTAGAGATGGGGTCTCACTATGTTGACCAGGCTGGTCTCAAACTCCTGGCCCAAGTGGTCCTTCCGCCTAGGCCTCCCATAGCACTGGGACTACAGGCTTAAGCCACTGTGCCCGGCCTCCTTTAATTTTCTAATATGGCACCATACAAATAGATCTTGTGTTTACTATCAATTAATTATTAATGTTAAACACTTTATGTGTAAGAAGGTGAAATAAATCCTCAGGCACGTTACTAGGTGTTAGAAAAATAGCTCCAGACAATTTGTATTTGTTTGCTTATGTACCTTAATCTATGTAAATGTGTACAAATAAGTTTTGCATCTAATAAACTGTTTCTAGAGTCTCATTAATAAAATAGATTTTTTTTTATGAAATAGTGACATCTGAAATTTTAGAAATTAAATTTCGTACTGAAATAGTTTATGAAATAGTATCGGTTTTCCTTAGAGGAGTAACATGGGGTGGTGGAACTAGAAATAGAAAAATTTATTTTTCAAACATTATTTGATTTCAGTGAAAAAGTGTAAAAGCTCAACTAATACATTTATAATAACGATAAATGAGAAAACAATGCAAAATGAAAATATCATGGTTTGCATTTCTGTCCTAAATTTACACTTTTTATTTATTTGTTTATTTATTTTTGAGATGGAGTCTCGCTCTGTCACCCAGGCTGGAGTGCAGTGGCACGATCTCAGCTGACTGCAACCTCTGTCTCCTGGGTTCAAGCGATTCTCGTGCTTCAGCCTCCCAAGTAGCTGGGATTATGGGTGCCCACCACCACGCCCGGCTAAGTTTTGCATTTTTAGTAGACACGGGGTTTCGTCATGTTGGACAGACTGGTCTCGAACTCCTGACCTCAAGTGATCCGCCCACCTCGGCTTCCCAAAGTGCTGGGATTACAGGCATGAGCCACGGCGCCAGGCCCTAAATCTACACTTTTTAAAACAGTGGTAATAAACAAGTTTTAAAACCATGGTAAAAAAACAAGAAGTCATGAACAGATCTTTATTACTGTTGAGTTTAGTTGCAGGCAGATGAAAGGAGAGTTAGGAATGTTGTTAGGTAGTTGCAAAACGGATGCTATGCCCTTTACAGATCAAAGACTAACACTAAAGATCAATATTTTCTGGAACATTTCCAGCAGGTTTCTCAGAAAACAAAACAGCCTCAACAAATAGTGAAAAACCCTAGCTGAATGGGTGCCCATCAATAACAACAAATCTCCAAGAGGTAAACTGTAATAATTTACATAGACTCCACTGAGATTCTACATTAATATATTAAGAAACTGTATCCAAACACTGAAATTCCAAACCGTGTCTAAAGAGAAAAATGTTGGTGAGGAGGAGAATACAGGGAGGGGTGTCCAAAAACGTTTCTCTTGGAAGCATTTGGCCTGTTCAGGTTCCTTCCTCCTTCTGCCTACCAATTACACATGCTGCTGGTAAAATCATCATCCTGACCCATGGCCCTTGTGGAAACAGCATGTGCTCATAAAACCCAGTTATCAAGATTCATTCTGTCCTATGTCCCCATCAGGACTGCCACATAGAATCGAAGATGCTCAGTTAAGCTTGTATTTCAGATAAACAGCAAATCATTTTTAAGTAAGTATGCCCCCATGCATGTCTCATACTTATACTAAAAAAAAAAAAAAAAAGATTGGCTGTTTATCTGAAATCCAAAGTTCACTATGCATTTGGTATTTTTGTTTGCTGAATCTGGCAACACTACACAAAGGTAAAGGGTCCCCAACAGACTCCCAGACTTCCACAGTAAGCTTCTTTCTTGTTGGAGCTTTGGATACAAGCTACTGGAAAAGGCCAGGTCTCTGGGGAGTTTCTAATAAATACTGTTGATCTTGATACCCTGTTTGTTTCAGGAATGTTTAGTGTTCAGCAAGGTTGCATAACTAGCTGTTCATCAGGAGAGGAGAACTCAGCTTTCATGCAGTGTTCAGCGCTGTAACATCTAAAGAGCTGACCCAGAGAGGTTGTTTTCCTGTGAGTAAAGCAGTACAGTAGATAAGCACCTTGCTGTAGACTGCTCTTTTTGTTTGCTTCTCTAATCAGCTGAATTTAATATTCATCTCAACTGCTTTTGCGTTGACACAATTATGATTTTGCTCTGATTCAAGAAAACCTTCCAAAAATGAAGCAGAGCTACCACCTTTTTGAACAGAGATGCGCCTTGCCCACATACTATCATTACATTTCCTGATTAAAAAAAAAAAAAAATCTTCCAACACTTTACACCACACCAAGAGAATATTTTATACCAATCCATTAATGCTCAGCCAAGATCCTCAAAACACTTTACAACTGGCTTATGACACACAAAAGATGAATAAATCAAGGGCTTTCTTTTTTTAGTTTAATTTTTAATTTTTGTGGGTACATACAATATTTTGATACAGGCACACGTGTAACAATCACATCAGGGTGAATGGGGTATCTATCACTTCAAACATTTATCCTTTCTTTCAAACACTTATCCTTTATTGCTAGGGCTTTGTTTCTTAAATTGTCAACCATCCATTTCCTAAGATGTCCATTATCACAGACACAGGCTGGAACAGCACGACCTCTCTGATGCTAAGTATTAAAGTTAGATTCTGCTCCCTAGTGTTGAAGAAAAGTCAAATTTTAAGATTTATTTCTCACCAGAAAAGAGAACTTCTACCATTGCTTGGAAACAGAAGCACTGAAATAAAAGGTGAGTGGGCAGAATACTGACACACACAGCTCTGTTCAGAGCATACTCTGGGGTTTAGGTTGAAAGAAAAAAAAAACTGAAAACCACTCTGCTGTCTACGGACAAGGTAAAGAGGACTTCAAGGTTACTTACCATATTTGAACCCCTCAACTACCCCTTCAACAAGAAGTAGAGAGCAGGAGTACCTAGGAAGGACACGGGTGACTGGCGCACGGCCATAAATCTTGGATAAATCTTGGGAAAGTTGATTACAGAAACTGGGTCATTCTTGTCATACCCAACTAAATCAGAGTCAAGGGACCAAGGGGAAAAAGTGCTCGGGGCACACAACACCTGCTCCAAGAATTCAGTTTATTACAAGCCCAGCTGCTGAGACTGCCTGTTGTAACCTGAAGCCAGTTTTATTTAATAGCTACTAAAACAATCTGCCGTGACTCTAAGACTAATCTTACCCACCACTGTCACTCACCAATCAGAGCTTGCTAGCCAGCTCTCCAAAACTTGACTAGTGCCAATGAACTTTCTTTCAGAACAATATGTAACATTTCTCCTTTTTATAAAATGTACTAGACAGGACACGGCGGGTAACACCTGTAATCCCAGCACTTTGGGAGGCCGAGGTAAGAGGATCACTCGAGCCCAGGAGTTTGAGACCAGCCAGGGCAAAATAGGGAGTCTCCATCTCTACAAAAAAATCAAAAAATGAGGTGGGAGAACTGCTTGAGCATAGGAGGTTGAGGCTGCAATGAGCCATGATTGTGCCACTGTACTACTACCTGGGTGACAGAGCAAGACCCTGCGTCCAAAAAAAAAAAAAAAAGGCGGGGGCCAGGTGCAGTGGTTCACGCCTATAATCCCAGCACTTTGGGAGGCCAAGGCAGGCAGAACACCTGAGGTCGGGAGTTCGAGACCAGCCTGACCAACATGGAGAAATCCTGTCTAAAAATACAAAATTAGCCAGGCGTGGTGGCACTTTCCTATAATACCAGCTACTCAAAAGGCTGAGACAGGAGAATCCCTTGAACCTGGGAGAAGGAGGGTGCAGTGAGGCGAGATCACGCCATTGCACTCCAGCCTGGGCAACAAGAGCGAAACTCCGTCTCAAAAAAAAAAAAAAAAAAAAAGCCCAGGAGCAGTGGCTTATGCCTGTAATCCCAGCACTTTGGGAGGCCGAGGTGGGCAGATCAAAAGTTCAGGAGTTCGAGACCAGTCTGGCCAATATGGTGAAACCCCATCTCTACTAAAAATACAAAAATTAGCCAGGTGTAGTGGCAGGCACCTGTAGTCCCAGCTACTCAGGAGGCTGAGGCAGGAGAATCGCTTGGACCCGGGAGGCGGAGGTTGCAGTGAGCCGAGATGGTGCAACTGCACTCCAGCCTGGGCGACTGAGTGAGACTCCGTCTCAAAAACTAAAAGAAAAAATCCACGTTTCTCTTTGTTCTTTGTTCTTTGGATATACCAAAGACGATCTAGTCTGTGCGGATGCCCTGAACTGCAATTCTTGCTTCCCAAATAAAATGTTACACTTAGACATTCATCTGCACATTTTATTTTTATTTTGACACTGTAAACCACTATTAATTGCTAATGTTACAAATATTAATTATGGGTAATAATAGCTCAGGAGATTACTATATTTACCTTAGGTTACAAAAGAGATCAGAGAAACTAAAACATGACATGAAATCATCAAACTCTAAAGGACCAGTTAAATTCCTGTAGTCCAGACCAGTGGTTCTCCACCACTTCAGACCCAATGATCTCTTTTGTATTGCCCCATAAATATCCTGAAATGGAATTCACAGATAACATTACCTACTCATATAATTTTTTAATGTCAACAAAGTGCCTATTTAAATTTTAAAAAGTTATTTATAATAAGATAATATGTACTTCAATTATGTAAATGTTTAGGCATGACAACACAACACTAGACGATATAATGAAGTAAGCAGTTATTCCAAGGCTAAGAATCCAAATACAGTCATGCACCACATAATGACGTGTAGATCAACAATGGACCGCATATGCTACAGTGGTCCCATAATCACACTGGAGCTGAAAAAATCCTATCTCCTAGTGAAGCTGTAGCTGTCTTAATGCTGTAGTACAACATAATACTCGTGTTTGTGGTGATGCTGGTGTAAACAAGCCTACTACACTGCCAGTCACATAAAAGTATAGCACATACAATTATGTATAGTACATAATATTTGATAATGATAATAAATGGCTATGTTACTAGTTTAAGTGTTCACTATACTATACTTTTTATCATTATGTTAGAGTGTACTCCTTCTATTTTTTCTTTTTTTTTTGAGACACAGTTTCACTCTGCTGACCAAGCTGGAGTGCAATGGTGTGATCTTGGCTCACTGCAACCTCCACCTCCCAGGTTCAAGTGATTCTCATGCCTCAACCTTCCCAGTAGCTAGGATTACAGGTGCATGCCACCATGCCCAGCTAATTTTTCTGTTTTTAGTAGAGACGGGGTTTAACCATGTTGGCCAGGGTGGTCCCGAACTCTTGACTTCAGGTGATCCTCCTGCCTCAGCCTCCCAAAGTGCTGGGATTACAGGCATGAGCTGCTGTGCCCAGCAAACTCCTACTTATTAAAAAAAAAAAAAAAAAGTTAATTGTAAACTACCCTCAGGCAGGTCCTTCAGGAGGTATTCTGGAAGAAGGCTCAGGTCCAGTGCAGTGGCTCATGCCTATAATCTCAGCAATTTGGGAAGCCAAGGCAGGCAGATCACCTGAGATCAGGAGGTCGAGACCAGAATGGCCAACATGGCGAAACCCCGTCTCCACTAAAAATACAAAAATTAGCTGGGCATGGTGACATGCGCCTGTAGTCCCAGCTACTCGGAAGACTGAGGCAGGAGAATCACTTGAACCTGGGAGGCAGAGGTTGCAGTGAGCCGAGGTTGTGCCACTGCACTCCAGCGTGGGTGACGGAGCAAGACTCTGTCTCCAAAAAAAAAAAAAAAAAAAGTACCGGGCATGGTGGCTCACGCCTATAATCCCAGCACTTTGGGAGGCTGAGGAGGGTTGATCACGAGGTCAGGGGTTCGACACCAGCCTGGCCAACATGGTGAAATCCCATCTCTACTAAAAATACAAAAATTACCCAGGTGTGGTGGCGCATGCCTGTAATCTCAGCTACTCAGGAGGCTAAGGCAAGAGAATCGTTGGAACCCAGGCAGTGCAGTGAGCTGAGATCATGCCACTGCACACCAGCCTGGGTGACAGAGCAAGAATCCATCCCAAAAAAAAAAAAAATTTAAAGTTTATAACATAAAAAAGTTACAGGAAGCTAAAGTTAATTTATTATTAAAGAAAGAAAAAACTTCTAAGTTTAGTGTAGCCTAAGGCTACAGTGTTTCCAAAGTCTACAGTAGGGTACAAGAATGTCCCAGCCTTCACATTCACTCACCACTCACTCACTTACCCAGAGCAACTTCCAGTCCTACAAGGTCCATTCACGCTAAGTGCCCTATGCAGGCATACCATTTTCTATCTTTTTTTTTTTTATGATGAGATCTCATTGTGTTGCCTAGGCTGGTCTTGAAACTCCTGGGCTTAAACAATCCTAATGACTCAGCCACCCAAGTAGCTGGTACTAACAGGCACATACCACCCGTACCACCCCACACTGCTTTTTTTTTTTTCTTGAGCCGGAGTCTTGCTCTGTCACGCAGGCTGGAGTGCAGTGGCACGACCTCAGCTCACTGCAACCTCCACCTCCCAGGTTCAAGCAATTCTCCTGCCTCAGCCTCCTGAGTAGCTGGGACTACAGGCGCCCGCCACCACGCCTGGCTAATTTTTATATTTTTAGTAGAGATAGGGTTTCATCATATTGTCCAGGCTGGTCTTGAACTCCTGACCTCGTGATCCGCCTGCCTTGGCCTCCCAAAGTGCTGGGATTACAGGCGTGAGCCAACGCACCCGGCCAATTTTTTATTTTTACTGTACCTTTTCTATGTTTAGATAAATACTTACCATTGTGTTACAATTGCCTACAGTATTCAGCACAGTAACATGCTGTACAGGTTTATAGCCTAAAAGCAATAGGCTATGCCATACAGTAGCCTAGGTGTGCAGTAGGCTACACCACGCAGGTTTGTTAAGTATACTATGATGTTCACACAATGATGAAACCACCTAACAGGCATTTCTCAGAACACATCCCCTTCATTAAGCAATGCATGACTATACTGACTCAATGTCCCTGAACCAAGGCTTCCCATTAGCATTTCAGGACAAACCCTGCATCACCCAGGACTTGAAGCAATTCTTGATTTTTCTGCTCAGAGCAACCAAGACTTTGAAAATATCACTGTATCCAGAGACCATTAAAGACCATAAAAGTATGGACAATTTGGGCAAGCTTTTACAAGAAGGAAGTAGGCTGGGGTAAGTTCCAAATAAAAAGTCCTTTCACAGGGGGTGGTGGCTCACACCTGTAATCCCAGCACTTTGGGAGGCCGAGGCCAGTGGACTGCCTGAGGTCAGGAGTTCGAGAACAGTCTGGCCAACCTGGTGAAATCCCCGTCTCTACTAAAAATACAAAAAAATTGGCCAGACGTGGTAGCGTTCGCCTGTGATCCCAGCTACTCAGGAGGCTGAGGCAGGGGAATTGCTTGAACCAGGGAGGTGGAGGTTGCAGTGAGCCAAGATCACGCCACTGCACTCCAGCCTTGGCCACAGAGTGAGACTACATCTCAAAAAAAAGAAAAAAGTCCTTTCACTGGAGGGTTTGTAAGGTCATGGTCCAGGTACCTAAGGAATCTGTGGGCCTGGCTAAAATATTTCTCCCTAACCATATAACCTGAACAGCTCTGAACAAATTCAGAGATGGCAAGTCTACAAGTAGAGTTGGCCTTTTAAGAACACCCTGACTTTCTAAAATTATGAAATAGTGGACCAGGAGATATGCTGTGTGGTTACCTAATTCTGACCTTCATTTTAAAGGTTAGTAAACTTGTCTTGTTCAGGACCATAAAGACTGTTAAAAGTGGGGCTGGTGCAGTGGCTCACATCTGTAATCCCAGCACTTTGAGAAGCCGAGGTGGGAGGATCGCTTGAGGCCAGGAGTTTGAGACCAGCCTGGGCAGCATAGAAAAACTTCATCTCTTTTTTATTTTTATTTTTTTAAATTAGCTGGGTGTGCTGGTGCACGCCTGTAGTCCCAGCTACTCAGGAGACTGAGGCGCGAAGATCACTTGAGCCCAGGAGTTCAGGGTGACAGTGAGTCATGATCATGCCACTGCATTCCAGTCTAGGCGAGACAATGTCTCAAAAAATAAACAAATAAACCAACCAAACAAACAAAAAAGACTGTTAAAAACAGACTAGAGGCCCCCTGATTTCCAGGGCAGTATTGTGTTCACTGTACCATACTTAAGGAAAAACAGCTTACTAGGGAAAGATCGTTTTCAGAAATTGAAAACTAATAAAAATCAACAACAACAACAAAAATTTAGAAGACAGGCTCTGCCTGAAGGCTCCCCAGCACCCTTTTCAGGGCTTCATGCAGTTTTTCTGACATCAGGCGATCAAAAATAATAATAGAAATGCAATGTGACAGGCCGGGCGTGGTGGCTCACACCTGTAATCCCAGCATTTTGGGAGGCTGAGGCGGGCGGATCACAAGGTCAGGAGTTCGGGACCAGCCTGGCCAATATGGTGAAACCTCGTCTCCACTAAAAGTACAGAAATTAGCCAGGCGTGGTCGTGGGCACCTGTAATCCCAGCTACTCAGGAGGCTGAGGCAGGAGAATTGCTTGAACCTAGGAGGTGGAGGTTGCAGTGAGCTGAGATTGTGCCACTGCACTCCAGCTGGGCGACAGAGTGAGACTCCGTCTCAAAAAAAAAAAAAAAAAGACAAAGAAATGCAATGTGACATGTAACTCTTCCTATGATAAGAAATTTATTTAATGGTGGCTCAGCATTCCACTATTCAGATGTTCTGTATTTTGTGTAATCAATTCCTTCTTACTGGAAATCTAGGCTGTTTCTCTTTTCTATTATTTACTTACTGGATTGTAAATTGGTAATGAGCCAGAAAGGTTTACATTCATCCAATTTAAAGGACTGTTAAAAAAAAAAAAAAAAAAAAAAAGGACGAAGAAAGCAACGCCATGCATAAGGTCAAGAGTCAGAATTTTTTTAAAAAAGGGAAAAATGCTACAAACAGCAGCAATTAAGCCACAAATAAAATAACTGCCTTTTTGGAATACAACAAATTCCATAATATAACTACTCCATGAGCCAAACATTTCTTCCTCTCCATCCCTCCTTATTCAAGTATTAAATATAATCTTGACTAAATGACCGTGCTGATTCATAATGAAAAGTTACCTGCATTTAAAATACACAGTCCCTTCGTGGCTCCCATCATGCTTTCCTCTCTCGGGATTGTCCCATTCTACTCCTAACCAGGGTCCTAGCAGAACAAGAAAAACCAAATGAGTAACAGATGATGATACAGGCAATGCTCCAGTTTTCTGCAAGCAAATACCAATTTGCAGCGGAAACCATATCACACAGATACCACTTGGGGAGGAGGGAATGGACAAGTTAGCCTTATACTCAGGACTTCAATCAGCAAATGCCATAGCATGTCTGGGTGAAAAAGCCAACAAAAACCACCACTCCAGAAAACAAGAATGGCTAAAATTTATTGAGCACACTAAACAAAACTGACCCTTGAGGACATTACACTAAGAGAAATAAGCCACCATAAAAGGACAAATACCATATTCCACTTATATGAGATACTTAGGGTAGTTACTACTAAACTGTACATTCAAAACTGGTTCAGATGGTAAATTTTATGTTACGTATATTTTACCACAATTTAAAATGTTAAATTGAAAAGTGGTTAAAATGGCAAACTTTATGTTATGTATGTGGCTACAATAAAAATTAAAAAAAAAAAAAAAGCCCAGGCACAGTGGCTTACGCCTGTAGTCCCAGCACTTTGCAAGGCCAAAGTGGGCGGATCACCTGAGGTCAGGAATTCGAGACTGGTCGAGACTGGCCTGACCAACGTGAAGAAACCCCATCTCTACTAAAAATACAAAATTAGCCAGGTGTGGTGACACATGACAGTAATCCCAGCTACTCGGGAGGCTGAGGCAGGAGAATCACTTGAACCCGGGAGGCGGAGGTTGCAGTGAGCCGAGATCATGCCACTGCACTCCAGCCTGGGCAACAAGAGCAAAATTCCGTCTCAAAAAAAAAAAAGGCTGGGCACAGTGGCTCACGCCTGTAACCCCAGCACTTTGAGAGGCAGAGGCAGGCGGATCACGAGGTCAGGAGTTCGAGACCATCCTGGCTAACACAGTGAAACGCCGTCTCTACTAAAAATACAAAAAATTAGCCAGGCACGGTGGCGAGCGCCTATAGCCCCAGCTACTCCGGAGGCTGAGACAGGAGAACGGCGTGAACCCGGAAGGCGGAGGTTGCAGTGAGCCGAGATCACGCCACTGCACCCCAGCCTAGGCGACAGGGCGAGACTCCATCTCAAAAAAAAAAAAAAAAAAAAAAAAAAGAGGAAAAATAATTTTTTCCTTCAATTTCAGCAAAAACCCAATAAAGGTAGTCTTCAAGGAAAAAGAAAATTATACCAGATAGAAGCCTAAAGATACAAGGAGTGGGGAGATAAAAGGCAAGAAAAGGGTAAATATATGGGTGAAGTTAAAGTAATACAGACAATGTAAAGTAATAATATCAGTTCTTCGGGTTTAAAATAAACATCGGTTAAAATGTCACACATATGAGTTAGGAAGGTGATAAATGGCATGTTCTAAGGTCTTTCATGGGTCCAAAAGGAGGTATAATTATTAGACTAGATTTCTGTAAACCAGAGATGCATATTTTAATCTCTAGACTTACCTCTAAATAATAAAAAATTAACTGCTGTGTAAGGAAAAATAAAAAATGAATAACTACTGCATAAGTTAAAACTCTCCAAACCATGTCTTTCCTCTGCTACACTATTCCTCACACTACAACAATCAGCACAGATGACTTCTGTGACCGAATGTGTGGGGGTTTTCCCCACACACCAAGCAGGGGATGCCATCTGGGTGTCCGCCAATTCAATTCTGACACTATCTGACTGGACATAGTGTCAGACCACCAGCCACTAGCCTGGGCGTCTGGAACTTCTGACCGACCAGCTTCAAACAGCTGGGGTTCCAACAGCCCCCTCTTTGTATTTGATTAATTTGCTGGAGCGGCTCACAGAACTCAGGAAAACACTTACTTACATTTACAGGTTTATTATAAAAAATATTGCAAAGAATCTAGATGAAGAGGTGTGCTAAGGCGAGGTACAGGGGAAGGGCTGTGGAGCTTCCAAGCCCTCCATGGATGCAAGAACCTTCACAGATTCAGCTATCTAGAAGTTCAAAGACATTAGCATTCCTGCCTCTAGTGTAGAGGGGTGGGAGCCTCTCCGGGAGGGTCTTATGACCCACAGTCAGAATGGTGGAAGAAGATTAGAGTTCTGCCTTGGGGCAGGAGAATGGAGGGCAGGAGAGAGATCCTGTTTCCTGAGGCCTGACACACCAATATTATAACAAAAGACTGTAACAAGAGGTATGGGAGTTGAGAACCAGGAACCATGAACAAAAACCAATATATATCATACCACCACAACTCCAAACTAATGGAGAAGAAACACAAGGTAAAAATAATCATCTCTAGGCTTGGTGGCTCACGCCTGTAATCCCAGCACTTTGGGAGGTGAAGGCGGGTGGATTGCTTGAGCTCAGGAGTTCGAGACCAGCCTAGGCAACATGGCAAAACCCCGTCTCTACTAAAAATACAAAAAAATAGTTGGGCATGGTGGTGCATGCCTGTGATCCCAGCTACCCAGAAGGCTGAGGTGGGAGGATCGCTTGAGCCTGAGGTATGGAGGTTGCAGTGAGCCAAGGTTGAGCCACTGCACTCCAGCCTGAGTGACAGAGGGAGACTCTGTCTCAAAAAAGAAAAAAAGAAAAGAAATAGTGGCTGGGCACGGGAGCTCACGCCCATGATCCCAGCACTTTGGGAGGCCAAGACTGGCTGATTGCTTGAGCTCTGGAATTTGAGATCAGCCTAGGTAACATAGTGAAACCACATCTCTACAAAAACTACAAAAATAAGCCCGGCTCAAGCGATTCTTTTGCCTTAGCCTTCCGAGTAGCTGGGACTACAGTAGCTGTAGTCCCAGCTACTCGGAAGGCTGAGGTGGGAGGACTGCTTCAACCCAGGAGGCAGAATTTGCAGATAGTGCTACTGCACTCCAGCCTGAGCAATGGAGTAAGACCTTGTCTCAAAAAAAAAAAAAAGAAAACACCACAAATAATCATCATCGTCATCCAATGAAGGGAGAAAAAAAGGAACAGAATGTCAGCAAAACAAACAAAAAGCAAGTAGTAAGATGAGAGATATAAACCCAAATTATCAATAATTAAGTAAAACATAAATGGTATAAATGCTCTCATTAAAAGAAAACATTTTCCAATACCCGGGCACGGTGGCTCACACCTATGGTCCCAGCACTTATGGAGGCCAAGTCAGGTGGATCACCTGAGGTCAGGAATTTGAGACCAGCCTGACCAACATGGCAAAACCCCATCTCTACTAAAAATAGAAAAATTAGCCGGGCGTGGTGGCGGGTGCCTGTAATCCCAGCTAGTTGGGAGGCTGAGTTGGGAGAATTGCTGGAACCCAGGAGGTGTAGGTTGCAGTGAGCCAAGATCGCACCATTGTACTCCAACCTGGGCGACAAGAACAAAACTCCATCTCAAAAGAAAAAAAAAAAAAAGAAAGAAGTAAATGTTATCATCATAGAAACTATCAGAATGGGTTGAATTGATGGATGCTACAAAGAAGAATGCACAAAATAAGGCCATTCTCTCACACTGCAAAGCACAAGTCATTTTTCAAGCCAAAGCAGACAGAAGGAGCAAGGCCAGCATTCAACTGTGATTAGCTGTAAGTCTGACGAAGAATATCTATGGTTTAGCAAGCTTTTCCCCTGGGGCCAGTACATTAATGATAGAGGAGCAACTACAGAAACCAGTATGAGTAAGAGAGTGGACAGACATGGTATAAGGGTATACCTCACCAGTCAGATCCCAGGAATGTGTAAGATCCAGATTTTTGCTTTCTACATCCAGGGCGAACAAACCCTGATAGCCTCAATTTGAAAATTCCAAATGCACAGAAGACTGAACCAGACACTAGCACACAGGTTTATTAATTCACAATGATTAATAAAGCTGTCACACAAACCTGATTACTCTGGTCAACCTAATTTGTTTCCTATTCTCCATGGACTCAAGCCACATGAAAAGCCAATCATAATCAGGCCCAACTTCACTGACATCACAAGAATTAAAAATAATTAATCCATCACAAAAGTTCTGCATAGCGAAAGAAACAATCAACAAAGTGCCGGACGCGGTGGCTTACGCCTGTAATCCCAGCACTTTGGGAGGCCAAAGCGGGTGGATCACAAGGTCACGAGGTCAGGAGATCGAGACCATCCTGGCTAGCACCACGGTGAAACCCTGTCTCTACTAAAAAATACAAAAAATTAGCCGCGCATCCTGGCGGGCGCCCGTAGTCCCAGCTGCTCGGGAGGCTGAAGCAGGAGAATGGCGTGAACCCAGGAGGCGGAGCTTGCAGTGAGCCCAGATCGCGCCACTGCACTCCAGCCTGGGCGACAGAGCAAGACTCCGTCTCAAAAAAAAAAAAAAAAAAGAGATTGAGACCATCCTGGCCAACGTGGTGAAACCCCGTCTCTACTAAAAATACAAAAATTAGCTGGGCGTGGTGGCGCACCCCTGTAGTCCCAGCTACTCGGAAGGCTAAGGCAAAAGAATCGCTTGAGCCAGGGCGGTGGAGGTTGCAGTGAGCCAAGATGGCGCTACTGCACTCCAGCTTGGAGACAGAGCGAGACTCTTGTCTCAAAAGAAAAATAAATAAATAAATAAATAAATAAATAAACAATCAACAAAGTGAAGAGACAACTCACAGAATGGGAGAAAATATTTACAAACTACTCATCTAATAAGGGATTAATAACCAGAATATAATAAGGAGCTCAAACAATTCAATGGGAAAAACATCTATTAATCCGATTAAGAAATGGGCAAAAGATCTGAATAGACATTTCTCAAAGGAAGGCATACAAATGGCAAGCAGGTACATGAAAAGGTGCTCAACATCACTGATCATCAGAGAAATGCAAATCAAAACTACAATGAGATATCACATCACTCCAGTTAAAAGGACTTTTATCCAAAAGAGAGGATATAATAAATGCTAGAGAAAAGGGAACCCTCACACACTGTTAGTGGGAATGTAAATTAGTACAACCACTATGGAGAACAGTTTGGAGATTCCTCAAAAAACTAAAAATAGAACTGCCATATGTTCCAGCAATCCCACTGCTAGTTATATACCAAAAAGAAAGAAAACCAGTATATAGAAGAGACATCTGCACTCCTATGTTTACTGCAGCACTATTCAAAATAGCCAAGGTTTGGAATCAACCTAAGTGTCCATCAACAGATGAATGGATAAAGAAAATAAACACATAAGGGCCGGGCACGGTGGCTCACGCCTGTAATCCCAGCACTTTGGGAGGCAGAGGCGGGCAGATCATGAGGTCAGGAGATCGAGACCATCCTGGCTAACATGGTGAAATCCCATCTCTACTAAAAATACAAAAAATTAGCCGGGCGTGGTGGTGGGCACCCGTAGTCCCAGCTACTCGGAGGCTGAGGCAGGAGAATGGCGTGAACCCAGGAGGCGGAGCTTGCAGTGAGCCGAGATCGCTCCACTGCACTCCAGCCTGGGCGGCAAAGCGAGACTCTGTCTCAAAAGAAAAAAAAAGAAAAAGAAAAAGAAAATAAACACATACACAATAAAATACTATCCAGCCTTAAAAAATAATGAGATCCTGTCATTTGCAACAACATGGGTGGAACTGGAGGTCATTATGTTAAATGAAATAAGTCAAGCACAGAAAGACAAACCTCACATGTTCTCACTTACTTGCAGGAGCTAAAAAAATGAAAATAATTGAACTCATGGAGATAGCAAGTAGAACGGGGCTGGGCACGGTGGCTCATGTCTGTAATCTCAGCACTTTGGGAGGCTAAGGCAGGTGGATCACCTGAGGTCAGGAGTTCGAGAGCAGCCTGGCCAACATGGCAAATCCCCGTCTCCATTAAAAATACAAAATTTAGCCAGGTGTGGTGGTGCACACCTGTAATCCCAGCTACTTGGGAGGCTGAGGCAGAAGAATTGCTTGAACCCAGGAGGCGGAGGTTGCTGTGGGCCAAGATGGCACCACTGCACTCCAGCCTGGGCGACAGAGCGAGACTCCACCTTAAAAAAAAAAAAAAGAAGAAGAAGAAGTAGAATGATGGTTACTAAAGGCTGGGGGGCTGGGCAGGGGGAGAGAGTGGGAATGGTTAATGGGCACAAAAATACAGATAGCATAAATAAGATCTAGTGTTTGATAGCATGACAGGGTGACTACCATCAACAATAATTTATTGTGCATCTTTATATAACTAAAAGGGTATAATTGGGCTGTTTGTAACAAACAGAGAATAAATGGTGATGGATACCTCATTTACCTAGATGTGATTATTATGTATTATATGCCTGTATCAAAATCTCTCTTGTACCCTATAAATATATACACCTACTATGTACCCACAAAAATTAAAAGAATTAATCCAACAATCCAGAAATCATCCTCCTTGGTATTTACCCAAATAAGTTGAAAATTTATGTCCACACAAAAACCTGCACACAAATGTTTAAAGCAACTTTACTCATAATTCCCCAAACCAGAAAACAAAATATCCTTTAGTAGGTGAAGAATAAACCGTGGTACATCCAGACAATGGAATAGTAATCAGCATTACAAATATATAAGCTGGCCTGGAACTGTGGCTCATGCCTGTGATCCCAGCACTTTCGGAGGCCAAGGCAGGAGGATCGCTTGAGCCCAGGAGTTCAAGTCCAGTCTGGGCGCCATAGGAAGACCTTGTCTCAACAAAAAATTAGCAAGGTATGGTGGCTAGTGCCTGTAATCCCAACTACTCAGGAGACTGAGGTGGGACGATCACTTGGGCCCCAGAGGTTGAGGCTTCAGTGAGCTATGATCATGCCACTGCACTCCACCCTGGGCTACAGAGCAAGACTCTGTCTCAAAAAATAAGGGCTAGGTGTGGTGGTTCACACCTGTAATCCCAGCACTTTGGGAGGCCTAGGCAGGCAGATTGCTTGAGCCCAGGTGCTAAACACCAGCCTGGCAAAACCCGCTCTCTAAAAAATACAAAAAATTAGCTGGGCATGGTGGTGCACATCTGTAGTCCCAGCAACTTGGGAGGCTAAGGTGAGAGAATCACTTCAGCCCAGGTGCAGAAGCTATAGTTACAGTGAGCTATGATAGCACTACTGAACTCCAGCCTGGGCAACAGAGTGACAACCTGTCTCAAAAAAAAAAAAAAAAAAAAAAAAAGAAATTATCAAAAATTATCAAATGTCTATAATAAAATTCATTACAGGCCAGGCATGGTGGCTCACGCCTGTAATCCCAGCATTTTGGGAGGCCGAGGCAGGTGGATCACGAGGTCAGGAGATCGAGACTATCCTGGCTAACACGGTGAAACCCCGTCTCTACTAAATATACAAAAAAGTAGCTGGGCGTAGTGGTGGGCGCCTGTATTTCCAGCTACTCGGGAGGCTGAGGCAGGAGAATGGCGTGAACCCAGCGGGCAGAGCTTGCAATGAGCTGAGATTGCACCACTGCACTCCAGCCTGAGCGACAGAGCGAGACTCCGTCTCAAAAAAATAAATAAAAATAAAATAAAATTTGTTACAAATTTTAAGTAGGGCTGCATCCTAGTAATAAGTAAACTACAATATGCACCCTGAAATCACTAAATGAAATAAATAACTTAATTACCTACTTAATTACACTACAATTTTCACCTAAATACCACGGTGTGTCTGTCAAAGGCAGGAACTTTGGTTTGATACAATCTTTAGATGTTCCCCTAGGCAACAGTCAGTAAGCTTAGCTGTTTCCTTCATCCACTCCCAGAACATGAAAACATATCATGTCATTACCATATTAAAATACATATATATCTATTTGCTCTGTAGGAGGATAAAAGCATGATTCTTCTGAAAGGTGTATACAACTGCTAAAAGAACATCACTGCTGTACATACTTTATGAAGAGATTTGCTACCAGACTACCTGTGTCAACTCTATTCTCCAGGTATTATTATTTCAATATATTTCAATACAGTAAATGAAAAAAAAACATTTAAAACTCTGGAACAAGAACAGCAATAAAACAACAATAATAAGATATAATCAATAAATACTATTTTTTTTAGACAGTCTCACTCTGTCACCCAGGCTGGAGTGCAGTGGCGCCATCTCGGCTCACCGCAACCTCCACCTCCTGGGTTCAAGCGATTCTCCTGCCTCAGCCTCCCAAGTAGCTGGGATTACAGGCACGTGCCACCACACCAGGCTAATTGTTTGTATTTTTAGTAGAGACAGGGTTTCACCGTGTTAGCCAGGAAGGTCTCGATCTCCTGACCTTGTGATCCACCCACCTCGGCCTCCCAAAGTGCTGGGATTACAGGCGTGAGCCACCACGCCCGACCATTAAATACTATTTTTTAAAATATCTCTAGCATTATAACTCAGTATATAAATAATGTGAAAAGCCAATAGTAGGTAAATAAATGCTACAGAAGTCTTTATAAACAAACATTTCATTTTGGTGAAAAACAAAGTGTAACCACAGGAAATGGTGGGATAAAAATTAGATTTTTCTCTATATGGGAAGCTAAGAAACTCATGTCTAAAATTAATCAAGAAAAAAGCTAAAGCAGAATTTTTTTTTATTAATTTTTTTAGAGACAGCATCTCACTCTGTTGCCCAGGCTGGATTATAGCTCATTGCAGCCATGAACTTATGGGCTCAAGCAATCCTCCCACCTCAGCCTCCCAGTAGCTGGGACTACAGGCCTGAGTCACCATGCCTGGCAAATAATTTTGTTAAAAGACAGCAGATTAAAAGAGCATGTGACTACCCCATCTTAAAATCTTAAAGAATGGACACCACTTTGGACTAAAGAATTAAACCAAGATGTGAAATAGAATCAAGTTTTTCAATAATCTGGATTTACTGATTTAAAACAATTCTGGGCCAGGCGTGGTGGCTCAGGCATGTAATCCCAGCACTTTGGGAGGCTGAGGTGGGCGGATCACCTGAGGTCAGCAGTTCGAGATCAGCCTGGCCAACACAGTGAAACCCCATCTCTACCAATAATACAAAAATTAGCTGGGCATGGAGGGGGGTGCCTGTAATCCTAGCTACTCGGCAGGCTAAGGCAGGAGAATTGCTTGAATCCAGGAGGCGGAGGTTGCAGTGAGCCAAGATCCCACCACTGCACTCCAGCCTGGGCAACAAGAGCGAGACTCTGTCTAAAAAAAAAAAAAAAAAAAAAAAAAAAATTCTGTTCAGCAATTTGACAATATGAATCACAACTTTCTTTTTTCTGAAACAGAGACTTGCTCTGTCACCCAGCCTGGAGTGCAGTGGCACGATCACGGTTCACTGCAGGCTCAACTTCCTGGGCTCAAGCAATCCTCCCATTTCAGCTTCCCAAGTAGCTGGGGCTACAGGCACATGCCACCATGCCTGGCTGATTTTATTTTTTATTTATGTACTTATTTATTTATTTATTTATTTTTGCTAGAGACAGGGATCTTGTTACGTTACCTAGGCTGGTCTCAAACTCCTGAGCTCAAGCAATCCTCCCTCTTCAGCCTCCCAAAGTGCTGCAATTACAGGCATGAGCCACCATACCCAACCTATGAATCACAATTTAAACTGTACAGTTTTGTAAGAAAACGTATTTTTTTTTTAGAATTACAATGTAAAGTATTTAGGAATGAAATGCTACTCCGTATATAATTTAAAATGCTTAAGCAAAAAATAAGAGATGGGCCGAGTGCAGTGGCTCACATCTGTAATCCCAGCGCTTTGAGAGGGTGAGGTGGGTTGATCACCTCAGGTCAGGTGTTCAAGACCAGCCTGGCCAACACGGGAAAACCCCATCTCTACTAAAAATATAAAAATTAGCTGGGCATAGTGGTGCAAGTCTGTAATCCCAGCTACTTGGGAGGCTGAGGGAGGAGAACCGCTTGAACCTGGGAAGCAGTGGTTGCAGTGAGCAGAGATCGTACCACTGCACTCCAGCCTGGGTGACAGAGTAAGACTCCATCTCAAAAAAAAAAAAAAAAAAAAAAAAGGAAATGAAGCAAATATGGTATGGTAACATGTTAACAATTGTTAAACTGACATGACAAGCATATACAGGTGTCCATTATACTATTCTCTCTACTTTCTTTGTCTACGCTTTTTTTTTTTTGAGATGGAGTCTTTGTGGCCCAGGCTGGGGTGCAGTGGTGCAATCTCGGCTCACTGCAACCTCCACGTCCCAGGTTTAAGCAATTATCTTGCCTCAGCCTCACAAGTAGCTGGGATTACAGGCACCCACTACCACACCCAGCTAATTTTTTTTGTACTGTTAGTAGAGACAGGGTTTCGCCATGTTGCCCAGGCTGGTCTCGAACTCTTGACCAAGTGATCCACCTGCCTCCCAAAGTGTTGGGATTACAGGCGTGAGCCACCACGCCTGGCTTATTCTCTCTACTTTCTATATTTTTGAAACCTTTTCTTTTTTGTATTTTCTAATAATAATATAAAAACTACTCATATCTTCCTTAAATCTATTCTACTTGTAGGAATTAATCCAACAGAGGCAGCTCTGTCCTTTAAAAAGGCCCAGAAACGAAGACCAACCCAGTAGCAATGAACACCGCTGCAGCCCATACTGTGGCCCCTGAATGATATTTGCCAGCAAAAGAAAGAAAGAAAACAGCAAGAAATGTAAGATGAACCTTTACATGATAGCTTCCTTATCATATGAGGAAAGTTTTTCCAGCTTCTAGAGGCTTAGAGGCTGCACACTCCTTAGCTCATGACCCTCTTCCATCTTCAGAATAAACAATGGCCAGCTGAAACATTCTCACGTCACACTGACACTGCCTCTTCTGCCTCTAGCTTCTACTTTTTTTTTTTTTTTTTTTTGAGACGTTTCGCTCTTGTCACCCAGGCTGGAGTGCAATGGCACGATCTCAGCTCACTGCAACCTCCGTCTCCCAGGTTCAAGCGATTCTCCTGCCTCAGCCTCCCAAGTAGCTCGGATTATTGGCATGCACCACCACATCTGACTAATTTTTGTATTTTTTGTATTTTTAGTAGAGACAGGGTTTCACCATGTTGGTCAGGCTGGTCTTGAACTCCTGACCTCAGGTGATCCATCCGACTTGGCCTCCCAAAGTGCTGGGACTACAGGTGTGAGCCACTGCGTCTAGCCTAGCTTCTACTTCTAATGATTCTTGTGATTACACTGAGCCCAACTGGATAAACCGGATACTCTCCCAATCTTAAAATCAGCTGATTAGCAACCTTAATTCCATCTATAATTCTAATTCCCCTTTGCCATGTAACCTAGCAAAATCAGAGGTTCTGGGGACATCTTTGGGAGGCTATTATCCTGCCCACCACAGTATATCATCTTTATTCCATCTGAACAGTTTAAGATGTAATACTTTTTAAATCTTTGTATGATGCTATCACAGGAAATAATATCTCCAATTACAAGAAGCCATTTGCAGAACATTAGTACAATTGCATTTCTTTTTCTTTTTCTTTTTTTTTTTGAGACAGTCTTACTCTGTCACCCAGGCTGGAATGGAGTGATGCCATTTCGTCTCACTGCAACCTCTTCCTCCCGTGTTCAAGCGATTCTGCTGTCTCAGCCTCCCAAGTAGCTGGGGCTACAGGAGCGCACCACAAAACCCAGCTAATTTTTTTTGTATTTTTAGTAGAGACAGGGTTTCAACATGTTGGTCAGGCTGGTCTCAAACTCCTGACTTCAAGTGATCTACAGCCTTGGCTTCCTGAAGTGCTGGGATTACAGGCATGAGCCACCACGCCCAGTCTGCATTTCTTTTTAAAGTAAGTTTTAAAATGTTTATTTACAACAATATGCACGATTAACTGGTCTAAGTGCTTTAAACATCTAACTGATTTAGTTGTCATAACAGCTCTACAACATCCAGTGAAGTAACCGCAGAAATTATTACTAAATCTGTGTTCAATTTCTGTGCATCTTAGTACCAATTCCAAAAGATGACCTCTAAACTAAATGCAGGCCAGGCGTGGTGGCTCACACCTGTAATCCCAGCACTTTGGGAGGTAGAGATGGGCAGATTATGAGGTCAGGTGTTTGAGACCAGCCTGGCCAACATGGTGAAACCCCGTTTCTACCAAAAAAACCATGCAAAAATTAGCTGTGTGTGGTGGCAGGTGCCTGTAGTCCCAGCTACTCGGGAGGCTGAGGCAGGAGAATCACTTGAACCCAGGAGGCAGAGGTTACAATGAGCCGAGATTGTGCCATTGCACTCCAGCCTAGGCAACAAGAACGAAACTCAACCTCAAACAAACAAACAAACAAAAAGCTTAAATTTACAGTAGCTCCCTCTCTGCAGAATTACAATTTTCAAGGGAGAAAGAAGCACTTACCTGATAAAACATGCATGAAGAAAGTGTCACATTCACAGGCAATTTAATAAATAAAATTTAAATAAATTAAAAACTTCACGTTTGCTAAACTATCATTAAAAAACTTTTATCTATATTACTGTACTAGTGATATGCCACCCTGTCTTCAAGAATTGGGACTTATCTCCCAATAGCTGGGAGGACTGGCTTTTGGTAAATAGCCCTCAACTGTCTGCCCTCTTATGGAACTGTCTACTGTAGAAAGCATCTTGCCCAAGGGCACACCCCCTTCCTAGGGTCAACAGAACCTAGTGACAGATCATCACTAATGTATAATGACCCAGCCCCTCATCTCCACTAGGAAAGACTCTGAAAGGCCACTCTATCTTCAGAGCACCCAAAGGAGACAGCTGAAATATTTGTTGAGGCTGTACCATAGCCCAGCTTAGCCCTCTGCCCAACCTTGCTTACTCTCTTTCCTCTTCCATGAGTACTGGTCCCAAAGTACTCCCTAAAAAACTTTCTGAACACTAAACTTTCTAAGTGTAAATCTCTAGCTAAGTCTGCTTCCCAGAGAATGTGAATATTGGAAATTTCCAAGTACCGGACATTGACTGACTTGCAGACAACAATTTGGCAACATATGTCAAGAACCTGAGAATATTCACATTCCTTAGAAGTAACAGAGTAGAGCCAGGTGCAGTGGCTCATGCCCGTAATCCCAGCACTTTGGGAGGCTTGGGCAGGCAGATCACCTAAGGTCAGGAGTTCGAGACCAGCCTGGCCAACATGGTGAAACCCTGCCTCTACTAAAAATACAAAAATTAGCTGGGTGTGGTGGTGGGTCCCCGTAATCCCAGCTACTCGGGAGGCTGAGGCAGGAGAATCACTTGAACCTGGGAGGCGGAGGTTGCAGTGAGCCAAGATCATGCCATTGCACTCCAGCCTGGGCAACAAAAGTGAGACTCCATCTCAAAAAAAAAAAAAAAAAAAAAAGAAGTAACAGAGAAGAAAGGGCATGGGCAATGAAGGATAGATTCAAATCCCAGCTCTGCTATATAAAAGTTTTAAGACCTGAGACTTGGTCTTCTTGTCTATAAACATAGGAATAGTAACATCTATATTTTAAGGTTGTTATTGGAATATTCAAAGTTGAGAGCATGCTTTCAAGTGTCTGGTACACAGTAATTATTCATTAAACATTACTTTCTCTTCCCATTTACAAATAATACCAGGAAAGTAAAAACCCTTGACAGATTAGGTATATGTTAAAGACTTCCACAGCCTCCATGAAGGCAGAGTCCACATGTATCTTGTTCAATGGCTTTCACCAAACCTTATTGTGCATCAGAATCCCCTGGAGGGGCTGCTCTGTCTATGGAGTAGCCATTCTTTTATTCCTTTACTTTCCTAATAAACTTGTTTTCACTTTACAGACTGGCCCTGAATTCTTTCTTGCACGAGATCCAAGAACCCTCTTTTGGGGTCTGGATTGAGACCATTTCCTGTAACATCTTTCCCTCATTTGGGAAGCGCAAGGGGTCAGGGAGTTCCCTTTGCTAGTCAAAGAAAGGGGTGACAGATGGCACCTGGAAAATCGGGTCACTCCCACCCTAATACTGCACTTTTCTGATGAGCTTAAAAAACGGCACACCAGGAGATTATATCCCGCACCTGGCTCGGAGGGTCCTACACCTACGGAGTCTCACTGATTGCTAGCACAGCAGTCTGAGATCAAACTGCAAGGCAGCAGCGCGGCTGGGGGAGGGGTGCCCACCATTGCCCAGGCTTGCTTAGGTAAACAAAGCAGCCGGGAAGCTCGAACTGGGTGGAGCCCACCACATCTCAAGGAGGCCTGCCTGCCTCTGTAGGCTCCACCTCTGGGGGCAGGGCACAGACAAACAAAAAGGCAGCAGTAACCTCTGCAGACTTAAATGTCCCCGTCTGACAGCTTTGAAGAGAGCAGTGGTTCTCCCAGCATGCAGCTGGAGATCTGAGAACAGGCAGACTGCCTCCTCAAGTGGGTCCCTGACCCCTGACCCCTGAGCAGCCTAACTGGGAGGCACCCCCAGCAGGGGCAGACTGACACCTCACACGGCCGGGTACTCCTCTGAGACAAAACTTCCAGAGGAACGATCAGACAGCAGCATTCGCGGTTCACGAAAATCCGCTGTTCTGCAGCCACTGCTGCTGATACCCAGGCAAACGGTCTGGAGTGGACCTCTAGCAAACTCCAACAGACCTGCAGCTGAGGGTCCTGTCTGTTAGAAGGAAAACTAACAAACAGGAAGGACATCCACACCAAAAACCCATCTGTACATCACCATCATCAAAGACCAAAAGTAGATAAAACCACAAAGATGGGGAAAAAACAGAGCAGAAAAACTGGAAACTCTAAAAAGCAGAGCGCCTCTCCTCCTCCAAAGGAACACAGCTCCTCACCAGCAACGGAACAAAGCTGGACAGAGAATGACTTTGACAAATTGAGAGAAGAAGGCTTCAGACGATCAAACTACTCCGAGCTACAGGAGGAAATTCAAACCAAAGGCAAAGAAGTTAAAAACTTTGAAAAAAATTTAGACGAATGTATAACTAGAATAACCAATACAGAGAAGTGCTTAAAGGAGCTGATGGAGCTGAAAGCCAAGGCTCAAGAACTACGTGAAGAATGCAGAAGCCTCAGGAGCTGATGCAATCAACTGGAAGAAAGGGTATCAGTGATGGAAGATGAAATGAATGAAATGAAGCGAGAAGGGAAGTTTAGAGAAAAAAGAATAAAAAGAAATGAACAAAGCCTCCAAGAAATATGGGACTATGTGAAAAAACCAAATCTACGTCTGATTGGTGTACCTGAAAGTGACGGGGAGAATGGAACCAAGTTGGAAAACACTCTGCAGGATATTATCCAGGAGAACTTCCCCAATCTAGCAAGGCAAGCCAACAATCAGATTCAGAAAATACAGAGAATGCCACAAAGATACTCCTCGAGAAGAGCAACTCCAAGACACATAATTGTCAGATTCACCAAAGTTGAAATGAAGGAAAAAATGTTAAGGGCAGCCAGAGACAAAGGGAAGCCCATCAGACTAACAGCGGATCTCTTGGCAGAAACTCTACAAGCCAGAAGAGAGTGGGAGCCAATATTCAACATTCTTAAAGAAAAGAATTTTCAACCCAGAATTTCATATCCAGCCAAACTAAGCTTCATAAGTGAAGGAGAAATAAAATACTTTACAGACAAGCAAATACTGAGAGATTTTGTCACCACCAGGCCTGCCCTAAAAGAGCTCCTGAAGGAAGCACTAAACATGGAAAGGAACAACTGGTACCAGCCACTGCAAAATCATGCCAAATTGTAAAGACCATCAAGGCTGGAAGAAACTGCATCAACTAACGAGCAAAATAAACAGCTAACATCATAATGACAGGATGAAATTCACACATAACAATATTAACTTTAAATGTAAATGGACTAAATGCTCCAATTAAAAGACACAGACTGGCAAATTGGATAAAGAGTCAAGACCCATCAGTGTGCTGTATTCAGGAAACCCATCTCACAGGCAGAGACACACACAGGCCCAAAATAAAAAGATAGAGGAAGATCTACCAAGCAAATGGAAAACAAAAAAAGGCAGGGGTTGCAATCCTAGTCTCTGATAAAACAGACTTTAAACCAACAAAGATCAAAAGACACAAAGAAGGCCATTACATAATGATAAAGGGATCAATTCAACAAGAAGAGCTAACTATCCTAAATATATATGCACCCAATACAGGAGCACCCAGATTCATAAAGCAAGTCCTCAGTGACCTACAAAGAGACTTAGACTCCCACACAATGATAATGGGAGACTTTAACACCCCACTGTCAACATTAGACAGATCAACGAGACAGAAAGTTAACAAGGATAGCCAGGAATTGAACTCAGCTCTGCACCAAGCGGACGTAATAGACATCTACAGAACTCTCCACCCCAAATCAACAGAATATACATTTTTTTCAGCACCACACCACACCTATTCCAAAATTGACCACATAGTTGGAAGTAAAGCTCTCCTCAGCAAATGTAAAAGATCAGACATTATAACAAACTGTCTCTCAGACCACAGTGCAATCAAACTAGAATTCAGGATTAAGAAACTCACTCAAAACCGCTCAACTACATGGAAACTGAACAACCTGCTCCTGAATGACTACTGGGTACATAATGAAATGAAGACAGAAATAAAGATGTTCTTTGAAACCAACGAGAACAAAGACACAACATACCAGAATCTCTGGGACAACATTCAAAGCAGTGTGTAGAGGGAAATTTATAGCACTAAATGCCCACAAGAGAAAGCAGGAAAGATCCAAAATTGACACCCTAACATCACAATTAAAAGAACTAGAAAAGCAAGAGCAAACACATTCAAAAGCTAGCAGAAGGCAAGAAATAACTAAAATCAGAGCAGAACTGAAGGAAATAGAGACACAAAAAACCCTTCAAAAATCTAATGAATCCAGGAGCTGGTTTTTTGAAAGGATCAACAAAATTGATAGACCGCTAGCAAGACTAATAAAAAGAAAAGAGAGAAGAATCAAATAGACGCAATAAAAAATGATAAAGGGGATATCACCACCGATCCCACAGAAATACAAACTACCATCAGAGAATACTACAAACACCTCTACGCAAATAAACTAGAAAATCTAGAAGAAATGGATAAATTCCTCGACACATACACCCTCCCAAGACTAAACCAGGAAGAAGTTGAATCTCTGAATAGACCAATAACAGGCTCTGAAATTGTGGCAATAATCAATAGCTTACCAACCAAAAAGAGTCCAGGACCAGATGGATTCACAGCCGAATTCTACCAGAGGTACAAGGAGGAACAGGTACCATTCCTTCTGAAACTATTCCAATCAATAGAAAAAGAGGGAATCCTCCCTAACTCATTTTATGAGGCCAGCATCATCCTGATACCAAAGCCAGGCAGAGACACAACCAAAAAAGAGAATTTTAGACCAATATCCTTGATGAACATTGATGCAAAAATCCTCAATAAAATACTGGCAAACCGAATCCAGCAGCACATCAAAAAGCTTATCCACCATGATCAAGTGGGCTTCATCCCTGGGATGCAAGGCTGGTTCAATATATGCAAATCAATAAATGTAATCCAGCATATAAACAGAACCAAAGACAAAAACCACATGATTATCTCAATAGATGCAGAAAAGGCCTTTGACAAAATTCAACAACCTTCATGCTAAAAACTCTCAATAAATTAGGTATTGATGGGACATATCTCAAAATAATAAGAGCTATCTATGATAAACCCACAGCCAATATCATACTGAATGGACAAAAACTGGAAGCATTCCCTTTGAAAACTGGCACAAGACAGGGATGCCCTCTCTCACCACTCCTATTCAACATAGTGTTGGAAGTTCTGGCCAGGGCAATTAGGCAGGAGAAGGAAACAAAGGGTATTCAATTAGGAAAAGAGGAAGTCAAATTATCCCTATTTGCAGATGACATGATTGTATATCTAGAAAACCCCACTGTCTCAGCCCAAAATCTCCTTAAGCTGATAAGCAACTTCAGCAAAGTCTCAGGTTACAAAATCAATGTACAAAAATCACAAGCATTCTTATACACCAATAACAGACAAACAGAGAGCCAAATCATGAGTGAAATCCCATTCACAATTGCTTCAAAGAGAATAAAATACCTAGGAATCCAACTTACAAGGGACATGAAGGACCTCTTCAAGGAGAACTACAAACCACTGCTCAATGAAATAAAAGAGGATACAAACAAATGGAAGAACATTCCATGCTCATGGGTAGGAAGAATTAATATCGTGAAAATGGCCATACTGCCTAAGGTAATTTACAGATTCAATGCCATCCCCATCAAGCTACCAATGACTTTCTTCACAGAATTGGAAAAAACTACTTTAAAGTTCATATAGAACCAAAAAAGAGCCCGCATCGCCATGTCAATCCTAAGCCAAAAGAACAAAGCTGGAGGCATCACACTACCTGACTTCAAACTATACTACAAGGCTACAGTAACCAAAACAGCATGGTACTGGTACCAAAACAGAGATATAGATCAATGGAACAGAACAGAGCCCTCAGAAATAACGCCGCATATCTACAACTATCTGATCTTTGACAAACCTGAGAAAAACAAGCAATGGGGAAAGGATTCCCTATTTAATAAATGGTGCTGGGAAAACTGGCTAGCCATATGTAGAAAGCTGAAACTGGATCCCTTCCTTACACCTTATACAAAAATTAATTCAAGATGGATTAAAGACTTAAACGTTAGACCTAAAACCATAAAAACCCTAGAAGAAAACCTAGGCAATACCATTCAGGACATAGGCATGGGCCAGGACTTCATGTCTAAAACACCAAAAGCAATGGCAACAAAAGCCAAAATTGACAAATGGGATCTAATTAAACTAAAGAGCTTCTGCACAGCAAAAGAAACTACCATCAGAGTGAACAGGCAACCTACAAAATGGGAGAAAATTTTCGCAACCTACTCATCTGACAAAGGGCTAATATCCAGAATCTACAATGAACTCAAACAAATTTACAAGAAAAAAACAAACAGCCCCATCAAAAAGTGGGCGAAGGACATGAACAGACACTTCTCAAAAGAAGACATTTATGCAGCCAAAAAACACATGAAAAAATGCTCACCATCACTGGCCATCAGAGAAATGCAAATCAAAACCTCAATGAGATACCATCTCACATCAGTTAGAATGGCAATCATTAAAAAGTCAGGAAACAACAGGTGCTGGAGAGGATGTGGAGAAATAGGAACACTTTTACACTGTTGGTGGGACTGTCAACTAGTTCAACCATTGTGGAAGTCAGTGTGGCGATTCCTTGGGGATCTAGAACTAGAAATACCATTTGACCCAGCCATCCCATTACTGGGTATATACCCAAAGGACTACAAATCATGCTGCTATAAAGACACATGCACACGTATGTTTATTGTGACACTATTCACAATAGCAAAGACTTGGAACCAACCCAAATGTCCAACAATGATAGACTGGATTAAGAAAATGTGGCACATATACACCATGGAATACTATGCAGCCATAAAAAATGATGAGTTCATGTCCTTTATAGGGACATGGATGAAATTGGAAATCATCATTCTCAGTAAACTATCACAAGGACAAAAAACCAAACACTGCATGTTCTCACTCATAGGTGGGAACTGAACAATGAGAACACATGGACACAGGAAGGTGAACATCACACTCTGAGGACTGTTGTGGGGTGGGGGGAGGGGGGAGGGATAGCATTAGGAGATATACCTAATGCTAAATGACGAGTTAATGGGTGCAGCACACCAGCATGGCACATGTATACATATGTAACTAACCTGCACATTGTGCACATGTACCCTAAAACTTAAAGTATAATAATAATAAAATAAAAATACAATTAAAAAATTAAAAAAAGAAAAAAAAGAAAAATAATTATTCTTGCTGCACTTTATACAAATAATCAGGCCAATTACAATAAAGCAAATCAGTCTTTTTTTTTTTTTTTTTTTTTTTTTTTGGAGAAGGAGTCTCGCTCTGTCGCCCAGGCTGGGGTGCAGTGGCGTGGTCTCGGCTCACTGCAACCTCCACCTCCCAGGTTCATGCCATTCTCCTGCCTCAGTCTCCCTTAGTAGCTGGAACTACAGGTGCCCGCCACCACATCCGGCTAATTTTTTGGATTTTTACTGGAGATGGGGTTTCACCGTGTTAGCCAGGATGGTCTCAATCTCATGACCTTGTGATCCGCCCGCCTTGGCCTCTCAAAGTGCTGGGAATACAGGTGTGAGCCACCGTGCCCGGCCCAAGCAAATCAGTCTTACCATGACTTGTCTTTAGTAAAACTTGGAAACTAGAGAGAAAAATTATGTTTCAAGAACTATGGGGCATTTGTCATTAGATTCTAGTCTCATTAGTTGTTTTTAAGTTTGTTTCTTCAATTTAGGCTAACCCTGCTTATTCCTGTGAACCAACTGGTGATCTCTGGCTGCAGCTCAGAAGAAACAAGAGGGATGGGTAATGTAAAAATATGGATAAATATTCTAATTCTGGGCACATTGCAATCAGCTAGTAAACCCATATCAGCTTGGTTCCAGCAGTTGCCCAGTTCATAGAAAGCCTCCTTATTGGCCAGGCACGGTGGCTCACACCTGTAATCCCAGCACTTTGGGAGGCCGAGGCAGGCAGAACACCTCAGGAGTTCGAGACCAGCCTGACCAACATGGAGAAACCCTGTCTCCCCTAAAAATTCAAAATTAGTCGGGTGTGGTGGCACATGCCTGAAATCCCAGCTACTCGAGAGACTGAGGCAGGAGAATCGCTTGAACCCAGGAGGCAGAGGTTGCGGTGAGCCAACATCGCACCACTACACTCCAGCCTGAATAACAAGAGCGAAACTCTGTCTCAAAATACACAGAAAACAGTCAAATTTTTGTTGACTAAGACTTATGAGTAAGTCTACTACATTATTATTTACTCTAAAAACTAGAAATTAACATCCAAAAATGGGGAACAATTAAACAAACTATATATTATACTAAATGTAATAATTAAGAAATACGCAAAATCAAAAAAAGAAGAAATATTGCAAAATAATGCTGTAGAAACATAGGTAAATTTATACCAAAAAATAAGTTTAAAAAAAAGGTAACAAAAATTGTAATGTGTATCAGTTTAAACTATATTAGATACCTACACACGTGGATTAATGACAAAAGAAATTTCAAAAAAATTACTTGAGTTGAGGTTTATGAGGTTTCAAGACTTTTAGCTGTTTATAGTTTCCTCAGAAGATATTTTAAGGTTGATTTTATATAAGATAGCAACACTAAATAATTAAATGGCATATAATTAAACAAAATCATAGATACCACAGGATACTGTCACTCAGATAAAACTGGATACAGGAGGCACCTATAAATTAGTTGTTAATTTCGTCAAAATTTGTGGTATAAAGTGCTACTGAGAAGCTTACACAGAAACAGCTGCAAAATACACACACACACACACACACACACACACACACACACACACACACACACACACAATAATTGCTTACCTGCCACGGGAGGGACAACACCAGCAAAACGTACTGTTGCATGTTCTCCATTAACTTCAACTCTTCGACCAATGACATCCGCTGTCAAAGTGTCACTCATTATAATATATCCAGAATCCAAAATATGAGATCTAGGAAGAAAAATACAACACTGATAAGAACTTAATACAATTCCTTTAAAGGAATTTTTTTTTTTTTTTTTGAGGCACAGTCTTGCTCTGTCGCCCAGGCTGGAGTGCAGTGGCGCAATCTCGGCTCACTGCAACCCCCACCTTCCAGGCTCAAGGGTTCTTGTGCCTCAGCCACCAGAGTAACCGGGTCCACAGATGTGCTTCACCACACCCAGCCAATTTTTGTATTTTCAGTAGAGAAGGGGTTTTGCTACATTGCCCAGGCTGGTCTCCAACTCCTGAGCTCCAGCAATCCACCAACCTCAGTCTCCCAAAGTGGTAAAATTACAGGTGTGAGCCACCGCGCCTGGCCTATAAGAGAAGGTTCAAGTTTGGGAGAGAAGTCAGTATACTTAAAGTGCCTATAGAGGGTGATGACGGATGTGGGTCTCTAGCTCAAACGATACATTTGCGCTAGAAATGTGTTTTTTTTGTTCTTGTTGTTGTTTTTTAAGATGGTGTCTCACTCTGTTGCCCAGGCTGGAGTGCTGTGGCACGATCTCGGCTCACTGCAACCTCCACCTCCCTGGTTCAAGCAATTCCCCTGCCTCAGCCTCCCAAGTAGCTGGGATTACAGCACCCACCACCATGCTGTTTAATTGTTTTGTATTTTTAGTATAGACGGGGTTTCACCATGTTGGCCAGACTGGTCTCAAACTTCTGATCTCAGGTGATCCACCCTCCTCTGCCTCCCAAAGTGCTGGGATTACAGGCATGAGCCACTGCGCCCGGCCTAGAAACATGTTTTTAGGGGTTGTCAGCACAGAGCTTATAACTGATAGCATGAAAGTAGATGAGAATGAAAGGGTATCAGCTAGAAAGAAAAGGGGATCAATGACAGAATCCTGCAAAAACATAATAGTTAAGAAAGAAGAAATCCCTAAGAAGTCGGAGAAAGAAAAAACAGAAAAGAAAAAAGAAGAGCAGCTACCTGATGCCTTGGAATCCAAGGGACAGAGTTTAAAGCAGGAATAATCAAGCAACAGTATCAGATGCTGCAGAGAGAGCCTGTGAGACTAGGGCTTAAAAATCCGTGCCCCTTTTGCAAGCACAAATATGGTTAATTTCCAAACCTTCATCTTTGTCTAAATAAAACTCACTTTCTTTTTTTCTTTTCTTGAGACAGAGTCTCGCTCTGTTGCCCAGGCTGGAGTGCAGTGGCACGATCTCTGCTAACTGCAACCTCTGCCTGCTGGGTTCAAGCAATTCTCCTGCCACAGCCTCCCTAGTAACTGGGATTACAGGCACACGCCACCACGCACACGCCACCATACCCAGCTAATTTTTGAATTTTTAGTAGAGATGGTGTTTCACCATGTTGGCCAGGCTGGTCTTGAACTCCTGACCTCAAGTGATCCACTCACCTCAGTCTCCCAAAATGCTGGAATTACAAGCATCAGCCACCGCGGCCGGCCTAAATAAAACTCACTTTCTGTTTTAAAAAGCTAGCAGTGTTGGCTGGGCACGGTTGCTCATGCCTGTAATCTCAGCGCTTTGGGAGGCCAAGGCAGGCAGATCACCTGAGGCCAGGAATTCGAGACCAGCCTGGGCAACATAGTGAAACTTATCTCTACCAAAAAAAAATACAAAAATTAGCCAGGCATTGTGGCACACGCCTGTAGTCCCAGCTACTTGGGAAGCTGAAGTGGGAGGATCATGTGAGCCCAGAAGACTGAGGCTGCAGTAAGCCAAGATCATGCCACTCTGCTCCAGCCTAGGCAACAGAGCTAGAGCCTGTCTCAAAACAAACAAACAAAAAAACACAAATAAAAGATAACAGTGTTGAAGTACAAGGATTTTTAAACGACAAGTTACATAACTATTGAACAAAGTATTTTTCTATTTTAATATTATCATATATAATATGTGTACAAAACAAAAGAAAAAACATATGCTGTTACATGCCATCTGGGGTTAGAATACATTACTGACTACCCACAAACTCCATTGGTATATAGATATCTGAGGCCTTTGTTATTATTACCTCTCCACCTTTATGGGTTTTTTTTATTTTAAGAACAGGTAGATGGAAGGGGAGTGGTGGCTCATGTCTGTAATCCCAGCACTTTGAGAGGCCGAGGCGGGTGGATCACAAGGTCAGGAGTTCGAGACCAGCCTGACCACCATGGTGAAACCCCGTCTCTACTAAAAATACAAAAACTAGCCAGGCGTGGTGGCGCGATGCCTGTAATCCCAGCTACTCAGGAGGCTGAGGCAGGAGAATCGCTTGAACCCGGGAGGCAGAGGTTGCAATGAGCCGAGATCGAGCCATTGTACTTCTGCCTGGGTGACAGAGCAAGACCCCATCTCAAAAAAAAAAAAAGAATAGGTAGACATTTCCTCTGTTACTGGAGTTGTCTGTTACATTAGACCTGCTATTTCCATATTACAGAATAATCTAAGCATTTCAATCTCACATTATATGATTTTAAGTTTATTAAGTTTCTGCATAAGGTCCTCTCAATCAGCTCCTCAAATATTTTGTAAAAACAATAACATTAGGCTGGGCGCGGTGGCTCACGCCTGCAATCCCAGCATTTTGGGAGGCCAAGGCAGGCAGATCACAAGGTCAAGAGATCGATACCATCCCAGCCAACAGGGTAAAACCCTGTCTCTACTAAAAATACAAAAAAATTAGTTGGGCATGTAGTGCGCGCCTGTAGTCCCAGCTACTTGGCCATCTGAGGCAGGAGAATCACTTGAATGCGGGAGGCAGAGGTTGCAGTGAGCCAAGATCGTGCCACTGCACTCCAGCCTGGCGACAGAGCAAAATTCCATCTCACAAAAAACAAAACAAAAAAAATCATTTTTCCCAATTGTTGTGAAAAGAATCCTACTTTCAAAATGGAGCTGAATTTTGTCTATTTAAATAAAGGAGGACAGGGCCATTGGGAAGGGGGCCAGGATCCAGATCTAAACATGCCCAGTAGTGTTGAAAAGCAAAAGAGAAATAATCTCCGAGCCCAAAGTTGGTGAGAAAAGTCAAAGCAGTTTAGATGATTTTTTTTTTTTAATTGAGACGGAGTCTCACTCTGTCGCTCAGGCTGGTGCAATCTCAGCTCACTGCAACCTCCATCTCCCGGGTTCAAGCGATTCTTCCGCCTCACCCTCCTGAGTAACTGGGATTACAGGCGGCCGCCACCAGGCCCAGCTAATTTTTGTATTTTTAGTAGAGACGGGATTTCACCATGTGGGCCAGGCTGGTCTCAAACTCCTGACCTCAAGTGATCTTCCCACCTCGGCCTCCAAGTGCTGGGATTACAGGTGTGAGCCACTGTGCCGGCCAGTTTAGATGATGTGATGGCAGGATCAACATACGGGTCAGACCAGGCATGGGGAATTTATGTTTTAGTAAGCTAAGAGGTCTGGCCAGAGACACAGCACTACCCAAAAACCTGTGCTCAGATTCAGAGCTCTAGTCCCTAAGAAGAGGGACGAATAAAATGACTGCAGAACTCCACTCCTACAAGAAATTAAAGTACTAGGCCAAATCTTGGCTCCATGAACTAGACTGTATAGGGATTATCTAAATCCAGAAACTCACAAGGCCCCATAATCAGTCTGAGGCTCTTTCCAGCTGGGGCTCAGCTTAAGGGTACTACTACATCACCCTGCAGATCAGGCTAACAGTGAGAATGGCTTGGTGAGAAGAAGGGGGCAGCCATCAATGGGAAGTAAAACCAGAGAGTGTAATAGCAGGAATGAGGATTGAAGACACTAGGAAGCCATTCTCATTATTAATCTAACATCTGTAGGTAACTCATGAATTCCTTCACATGCTTGATCCTACTTAATCTCCAGTAACAATTTTTTTTTTCCATTCCTACCTGTATGCTGTGCCCACAGACATGACCAATGAGATCATTAGGTATAAGGTCTAAGGTCAGTAATTAACAGTCTCTGTGTCAAGTCAGGTGTTTTTGTTTGTTTGTTTTGAGAAGAGTCTCGCTCTGTTACCCAGGTTGGAGTGCAATGGCGTGATCTCAGCTCTGCAACCTCCACCGCCCGGGTTCAAGCGATTCTCCTGCCTCAGCCTCCAGAGTAGCTGGGATTATAGGCATGTGCCACCAAGCCCGGCTAATTTTGTATTTTTTTTTTCAATAGAGATGGGGTTTCACCTTATTGGTCAGGCTGGTCTCGAACTCCTGACCTCAGGTGATTCACCCATCTCGGCCTCCCAAAGTGCTGGGATTACAGGTGTGAACCTCTGCGCCCAGCCTCAAGTCAGTATTTTTGATGATCCTGTCTAGTCTCTGAACGTTTCTAATAATGTCTTTCTTGATACCATGATCTTCCGTGAAGACCTAGAAACTGGATCCATGTCTTGGTGACCTATGCCTTAGTTCCAAAGCCTTTACCCTCTTCTTCTAGCTAGTAACCAGTGGGTCCCTGTTTCCTGATGTTAGACCTACTTGATGCTGTTACTGGCCCACTCTGCACCCTTATTGCCTGTTGCTAGGACAACCACTTTGATCACTCCCCCACCCCCAGCCCCATTTTAGTATCCAGTCAAAATGACCTGCAGTCAGCTGCTGCCTAGTTAAGTTCTCTGTAATGGCCTGCACTGGGCCCTCTCCTAATCACCTGAATGTGAGTGGCATGTTGCTCTTAGTTAGGTCTATCTGGGTGCTGACTAAGGCTTGGTTCAGATGGAATGACTTTTTAAAATACACACACTTGCTAACTAATGAAGATAGCCCACTTAAATGTTGGAGTGACTCTTGTTATTCTTCTTTAAAAAGATGAAATCTACATCTCTAGGCCAGGCACAGTGGCTCATGCCTGTAATCCCAGCACTTTGGGAGGACAAGGCAGGCGGATCATGAGGTCAGGAGATTGAGACCATCCTGGCTAACACAGCAAAACCCCATCTCTACTAAAAATACAAAAAATTAGCCGGGCGTGGTGGTGGGCGCCTGTAGTCCCAGCTACTCGGGAGGCTGAGGCAGGAGAATGGTGTGAACCCAGGAGGCGGAGCTTGCAGTGAGCCGAGATCGCACCACTGCACTCCAGCCTGGGCAACAGAGTGAGACTCCATCTCAAAAAAAAAAAAAAAAAAGAAAAAAAAAGAAATCTACATCTCTATCATTTTCACCTAGTAATTTTCTACTACTGCCCTATGTAGCTACAGAGAATCAATATATTCCCTTTCCCAGACAACATTTAAATGTGGAAGGCCAGCTGGGCACAGTAGCTCACACCTGTAATCCCAGCACTTCGGGAGGACAAGGTGGGTGACTCACCTGAGGTCAGGAGTTCGAGACCAGCCTGGCCAACATGGTGAAACCCCGTCTCTACTAAAAATACAAAAATTAGCCAGGTGTGGTGGCGGATACCTGTAATCCCAGCTCCTAGGGAGGCTGAGGCAGGAGAATCACTTGAATCCAGGAGGCGGAGGTTGCAGTGAGCCCAGATTGCACCACTGCACTTCAGCCTGGGCGACAGAGGGAGATTCAGTCTCAAAAAATAAATAAATAAATATGGAAGGCCATTTGTTACCATTTCTGCTTTCCCTGCTTCCTGTCTTCATCTCCCAAACCTCTCTACCAGGGTAAACATTTCCAGCTCCTTAAACCCTCCTTATAGCATTCCAGTTTTCCTCTGTAACTGATTTACTGATTCCATGCTTAAATTGCGATATCTAGAACTGAACGCCACATTCCAGATGTGGCCTGACCTGCACGTGGGGTACAATGGTCTGAAAAGCATTCATTTAACAGTGTAGGCTAGGCAAAGTGGCTCACGCCTGTAATCCCAGTACTTTGGGAGGCCGAGGAGGGTGGATTATCTGAGGTCAGGAGTTCGAGGCCAGCCTGGCCAACATGGTGAAACCTGTCTCTACTAAAAATACAAAAATTAGCCAGGCATGGTGGCAAGCACCCGTAATCCCAGCTACTCTGGAGGCTTGAACCCAAGAGGCGGAGGCTGCAGTCAGCCAAGGTATGCCATTGCATTCCAGCCTGGGCAACAAAGAAAGACTCAGTCTCAAAAAAATAAATAAAATTTTAAAATTTAAAAAATAAAAATACAAGTCTGGGTGCGGTGGCTCACGTCTGTAATCCCAGCACTTTGGGAGGCCGAGGCGGGAGGATCACGAGGTCAGGAGATCGAGACCATCCTGGCTAACACGGTGAAACACCGTCTCTACTAAAAATACAAAAAAATTAGCCAGGCGTGGTGGCGGGCGCTTGTAGTCCCAGCTACTCGGGAGGCTGAGGCAGGAGAATGGCGTGAACCCGGGAGGCGGAGCTTGCAGTGAGCCGAGATCGCGCCACCGCACTTCAGCCTGGGCGACAGAGCGAGACTCCGTCTCAAAAATAAAATAAAATAAAATAAAAATAAAAATAAATAAAAATAAAAATACAAAAATTAGCCGGGCATGGTGGTGAGTGCCTGTAATCCCACCTACTTGGGAGACTGAGGCACAAGAATTGCTTGAACCCTGGAGGCGGAGGTTGCAGTGAGCCAAGATCGTGCCATTGCACTCCAGACTGGGCCACAGAGTGAGACTGCGTCTCAAAGAAAAAAAAAAATGTAGACGTTACATTCTTTTTTTTCTGTCCCTTTCATGGGAAAGACTGTTGCTTACTATTAAGGTTGCAATGAAAGAAATTCCAAAGCCATTTCTGATTTACTACCATCTTCCGATCATAAAATTTAAATGTTTAAATTTTACTACAATTGTATTACCCTAAAAATGAGTTTTTTACTAGTTTTAAGTGCCCTTTCAAAATTTTCATTAACATGTAAGCAGAATTTTACTACCACTGAGACATATAATTTGTTCTACTTCTTTTATTAACTTCCTTTAAAATAAAGTAGGGCCTCACTATGTTATCCAGGCTGGTCTTTAACTCCTGGGCTCAAGCAATCCTCCTGAGGATTCCCAAAGTGCTGGGATTACAGGTTTGAGCTACCTCAACTGGCCATATTAACATTTGTCCATAAACATTTTTCTATACAGCCACAGAGTCAACACATTAATCATCTCAATATCCAAGTATGATACCACAATTTACTTAATAATTTCTCTCTTTTTTTTTTTTTTTTTTTTTTTAGACGGAGTCTCACTCTGTCGCCCAGGCTGGAGTGCAGTGGTGCAATCTCAGCTCACTGCAAGCTCCGCCTCCCGGGTTCACGCCATTCTCCTGCCTCAGCCTCCCCAGTAGCTGGGACTACAGGCACCCACCACCACGCCCGGCTAATTTTTTGTATTTTTAGTAGAGACGTGGTTTCACCATGTTAGCCAGGATGGTCTCGATCTCCTGACCTCGAGATCCGCCCGCCTCGGCCTCCCAAAGTGCTGGAATTACAGACGTGAGCCACCGTGCCCAGCCTCTCTCTCTCTCTCTTTTCTATTGGTAGAGAAGGGATCTCTCTATGCTGCCCAGGTTGGTCTCAAACTGCTGGCCTCAAGAGATTCTCCCGTCTCAGCCTTCCAAAGTGCTAGGATTATAGGTGTGAACCACTGCACCCAGCCAATCATTTCTCTAATGCTGTTTATTTACAACTCCAAAGAAAACAGCTAAAAACAGCTTTGATTTTTAAAATATTACCTTATGAAGTATTTCCTTGGGAAAAATTCTTAAGATAGATAAATATGTTTAAGGTTCTACAAAGCCAGCCAGGAGCGGTGGCTCACGCCTGTAATCCCAACACTTTGGGAGGCCAAGGCAGGAGGATCATCTGAAGTCAGGAGTTCCAGAGCAGCCTTGCCACTATGGTGAAATCCCGTTGCAACTAAAAATACAAAAATTAGCCTGGCGAGGTGGAGTGCGTCTGTAATCCCAGCTAAATATGCACAGCAAAATTAAAAATTAAAATATAAAAATCAGCTGGGTGTGGTGGTGCACGCCTATAGGCCAATGTATTTGGGAGGCTTAGGTTGGAGGATGACCTGAGCCCAGGAGTTCGAGGCTGCAGTGAGCCCTGATCACACCACTGTACTCCAGCCTGGGCAACAGAGGGAGACCCTATTGTACAAAAAAATGAAAAAATGAAAAAAAGGGCAGGCACAGTGGCTCATGCCTGTAATCCCAGCACTTCGGGAGGCCAAGGCAGGCAGATCACCTGAGGTCAGGAGTTCGAGACCAGCCCGGCCAACATGGTGAAACCCCCACCTCTACTAAAAAAACAAAAATTAGCTGGGTATGCTGGCGGGTCCCTGT
Organism: Homo sapiens; assembly: GCF_000001405.40. Lineage (NCBI taxonomy): Eukaryota > Metazoa > Chordata > Mammalia > Primates > Hominidae > Homo > Homo sapiens. The sequence continues at coordinate 11,612 of NW_014040927.1, read as the reverse complement.
AATCCCAGCTACTTGGGAGGCTGAGGCAGGAGAATCACTTGAATCCGGGAAGTGGAGGTTGTAGTGAGCCGAGATCGTGCCATTGCACTCCAGCCTGGGTGACAAGAGCAAAACTCTGTCTCAGAAAAAAAGGTGGGGCCGGGTGCTGTAGCTCACGCCTGTAATCCTAACACTTTGGGAGGCAGAGGTGGGTGGATCAACTGAGGTTGGGAGTTTGAGACAAGCCTAACCAATATGATGAAACCCCATCTCTAATAAAAATACAAAAATTAGCCAGGCTATGGTGGCACACGCGTATAATCCCAGCTACTCAGAGGCTGAGGTGGGAGAATCACTTGAACCCGGGAGGTAGAGCTTGCAGTGAGCCAAGATCGTGTCAGTGCACTACAGCCTGGGTGACAGAGGGAGACCCTGTCTCAAAAAAAAAAAAAAAGGGAAAAAAAAAAAGACAAGAGTGGCCGGGGGCGGTGGCTCACGCCTGTAATCCCAGCAGTTTGAGAGGCTGAGGCAGGTGGATCATTTGAGGTCAGAAGTTCAAGACCAGCCTGACCAACATGGAGAAACCCCATCTCTACTAAAAATACAAAATTAGTCAGGTATGGTGGCGCATGCCTGTAATCCCAGCTACTGAGGAGGCTGAGGTGGCAGAATTGCTTGAAGCCAGGAGGCGGAGGTTGCGGTGAGCCAAGATCATGCAATTGCACTCTAGCCTGGGCAGCAAGAGCAACCACTCTGTCTCAAAAAAAAAAAAAAAAAAAAAAAAAAAAAAAAAAGCCAGGCGTGATAGCTCACACCTGTAATCCCAGCACTTTGGGAAGCTGAGGCGGGCGGATCATGAGGTCAGGAGTTCAAGACCAACCTGACCAACATGGTGAAACCCCATTTCTACTAAAAATACAAAAAAGAGCTGGGCGTGGTGGCGTGCGCCTGTAATCCCAGCTACTCAGGAGACTGAGGCAGGAGAATCGCTTGAACCCGGGAGGCGGAGGTTGCAGTGAGCCGACATCACACAATTGCACTCCAGCCTGAGCGACAGAGCAAGACTCCATCTCAAAAAAAAAAAAAAGAAAAGACAAGGAGGAAAAAAGCATAAAAATATGAAGTGTAGAAGATGGTGCAAAAACCCCAAATTCATTCAATCAACAATTATATTATGGAGTGTCTGCTAAAAGCCAGATACTATTTTAGGCAATTGGAATAAAACAGTAATGGATTTTACAGGGAAGTACAATAAGAGATCTTCCCAAAAAAAAAAAAAAAATGCCGGGTGCAGTGGCTCACGCCTGTAATCCCAGCACTTTGGGAGGCTGAGGCGGGTGAATCACAAGGTCAGCAGTTCAAGACCAACCTGGCCAAGATGGTGAAACCCCATCTCTACTAAAAATACAAAAATTAGCCAGGCATGGTGGCATGCGCCTGTAATCACAGCTAGTTGGGAGGCTGAGGCAGAGAATTGCTTGAACCCAGGAGGCAGAGGTTGCAGTGAGCCGAGAACGTACCACTGCACTCCAGCCTGGGCAACAGAGCAAGAATCCGTCTCAGAAAAAAAAAAAAAAAAAGAATACAGCAGTAAACAAAACAGAAAAATACCTGCCCTCATAAACCTTCTATGCCAGTGAGAGAAAACATAATAAACCAGATAAATGACTCTATCACATGGCATGTCATATGATGATAAGCACAAGGATAACGAGTGCAATGGAAATGTTAAAGATGGCAGTGGCTTGTCAGAGAAGGCCTTACTGAGAAGGTAAAGGTCCCCAAAATATGAGAGAGGTAAAGAACTGAGCCATGTGGACATATGAGGGAAAGGAATAGCAAGTGCAAATATCCTGAGGCTAGGATGCGCTTGAGGAGACCATACAGTAGAGCAAACAGGAGATGAGAACGACATGAGATCAGCAGTGAAGCAGGGCTAGGTCACATAGGACCTTCGATGAATAATCCACTCTGAAGACTTCGGCTTTTTTTTTTTTTTTGAGACAGAGTTTTGCCCTTGTTGCCCAGACTGGAGTGCAATGGCACAATCTCGGCTCACTGCAACCTCCGCGCCTGCCCCCAGGTTCAAGCAATTCTCCTGCCTCAGCCTCCCTAATAGCTGGGATTGCAGACACACACCACCACACCTGGGTAATTTTTTGTGTTTTTTTTTAGTAGAGACGGGGTTTCGCCACTTTGGCCAGGCTGGTCTTGAACACTTGACCTCAGGTGATCCACCAGTCTTGGCCTCCCAAAGTGCCAGGATTACAGGCTTGAGCCACTGCGCCCAGCCAGTTTTTGTTTTTTTTGTTTTTGTTGTTTTTTTTGAGACAGAGTCTTGCTCTATCGCCAGGCTGGAGTGCAGTGGCACGATCTCGGCTCACTGCATCCTCTGTCTCCCGGGTTCAAGCGATTCTTCTGCCTCAGCCTCCTGAGTAGCTGAGATTACAGGCACGCACCACCACGCCCGGCTAATTTTTGTATTTTTAGTAGAGACGGGGTTTCACCATGTTGGCCAGGATGGTCTCGACCTCTTGACCTCGTGATCCACCCACCTCGGCCTCCCAAAGTGCTGGGATTACAGGCATGAGCCACCACGCCCGGCCGACTTTGGCTTTCACTCCAGGTGAAATGTGTAGTCCTTGGAGGATTTTTGAGAGGAAAGACATAAATCTGATTTTTTTTTAAAGGATCAACCGAGATACTGTGATGCAAACAGACTAAAAGAGGAAAGAGCAGAAACTACTGCAGTAATTCAAGTACGAGACAACGTAACTTGAACAAGTGAAGGTGATAACAAGAGCCTGGGAGTGTGGACAGATTTTAAAGGTGGAGAGTCCATAGGATTTGCTGATATATATGGAAGAGATTAATCAGGGATGATACCAAAGATTTTCATCTAGACAAATATTTCAGTAGTGACAATGAATGTAAATCCAATAAACCTGCTAGTCAAAAGGCAGACTGGGCTGGGCACGGTGGCTCACACCTGTAGCCCCAGCACTTTGGGAGGCTGAAGCAGGTGGATCACCTGAAGTCAGGCCTTCAAAACCAGTCTGGCCAACATGGCGAAACCCCATCTCTACTACAAATACAAAAAAAAAAAAATTAGCTGGGCATGGTGGCACACACCTGTCATCCCAACTACTCGGGAGGCTGAGGTGGGAGATATGCTTGAACCTGGGAGGCGTGGTTGCAGTGAGCTGAGATTGGGCCACTGCACACCAGCCTTGGGCGACAGAGCAAGACTCCATATCAAAAAAAAAAAAAAAAAAAAAAAGCAGGCTGTCCACTTAGATTAAAAAAAAAACCCAGAGATATGCTGTTTACAACAGTATATAAAATATGAGCATACAGAAAAGTTAAAACTTAAGAATATGAAAAACGTTTGAAGCAAGTATCAAAACACAGCGGCCGTGGCTAAATTAATGCCAGAGAAAAGAAAAGTCTTCTCTCTTCATCTCTACCTCCACTAACTTTCTCTAACAGTTTGGCAATTTGTTAACCCCGTCTTCCTGCCAGGACTGCTTCTCTGAGGATAAGGCTGTCACACCATCATTTGGATCCACCCACAACTTAGAACAGTCCCCATTTGGTAGTAAACACCAAGTAAAAATAGTTACTTTAGGCCGGGCGCGGTGGCTCACGCCTGTAATCCCAGCAGTTTGGGAGGCCGAGGCGGGTGGATCATCTGAGATCAGGAGTTCGAGAGCAGCCTGGCCAACATGGAGAAACCCTGTCTCTACTAAAAATACAAAAATTAGCCGAGCGTGGTGGCACGCGCCTGTAATCCCAGCTACTCGGGAGGCTGAGGCAGCAGAATCGCTTGAACCCAGGAGGCGGAGGTTGCAGTAAGCCGAGATCAGAGATCCGCGCCACTGCAGTCCAGCCTGGGCGACAGAGCAAGACTGTCTCAAAAGAACAAACAGTTACTTTAAGTGCTCTCCACCTATTTAACGTTATTTCTCTGTCATCACCAATGTTAACTGATTCGGAAGGACGAGGCTGTTCCTCTAAGGTGACACCTTGTAAAAGTCGTTGGTCGCCTGTACCATTTTCACCTCTTCCAAAGTGACATGCCAATTCTCTGAGAGAAGCTTAAAATGCTAGAGATCACGTGCGGCTACTCCTAAATAAGGCCTTCCAGGAGGCGCAGGGTGGCCCCAACCCAGCCGGCTGGACCGCCTCCCAGCGCACGGAGCAGGCAACGCCCGGCTCTGGCAATCTGGGAAGATTCCAGGAAAGGAAGAAAAGGCCAAGAGCACTGCAGGGTGACGCACCGGCCAGGAATGCTCGTTCCGAAAGCTCCCCGAACCTCTGAAGCTCACCTGCCCGCGGAGACTCCAGGTGTTCCCAGCAGCAGCCCCTCCAGCCAACTGCCCAGCAGCGAAGCTTGAGGCTCTGGCCGGAAGTGCTGTAGGAAGTCCCGCCTCCACCGGAGTGAGGTACGGCTGCTGGAGCATAGACGAGAATGTCAGCGACAGTATTGGAGGCCAGAGGAGTGGTCAGCCCACCCAAGCCCCGCCTCTGGGCGGGGGCCCAAGCGATTTCCGAGTGCTGAAACCTGGGATGACAGAGCAGCCCAGGGAAAGCGCGTGTTCCAGTTTACTAGATACCACAGAAGTGAGTTACAAATCCTGTAAGAGGTTCAGTTCCATGCGTATTGAGAGTCTACCACGTAGGCAGCATGCGGTGGTCAAAGAGAAGAATATAGTGTTGATACCGCCAAAACTAAAAAAAAAAAAAAAATTACCTAGTTAAAGCATAAGGCAGAATGAAAGTAAATGCAGTGATAGAAAAAATAATAGAAAAAGCAACTATCCTAGACATGTTAATTTCTGTTGAAACCGCCTTTGCAAAATTTTGACAGTAAGAGAAATCTGACATGGTTTACTCCTATCTTGATTCTAGCCTCACAGACTGGCTGTCTTTGCTCATTCCTGGGCACAGGACAAACTAACTTTGGGAGAAATTTAGTTTATAGTTTAAATGATAATAACCCTTCCCCAAAACTGCCCTTTTAAAACTAAATGAAAGGCCACCAAGTTAGGAGAATGAGAGGGTCCTGAATTCTTCTAAGTTGTAATTGTAGTTAAATGATTACCACCCATTATTCCACAGGTCACAAATTCGCATCTTCCCCAATCATTCCTGCAGATAACATCACTGTTGTAGAACCTAAGATTGGCCTTTTGAGATGTCTTTTCAGGTTTTTGCATTTCTGACAAGTGGATGGCCCCACCCTGACTCATCAACCTGGGGATCCACGAACCAACTCAGTGCAAGAGGACAGCTTCTACTTCTTATGATTTCACCTCTGACCCAACCAGTCAGCACTCCCCATTCCCTGGCCCCGTACCTGTCAAACTATCTGAAAAACCCCCTAACCTCTGAGCCTTTGGTGAGATGGATTTGAGTAACAACTCTGTCTCCCACGTGGCATGGCCAGCCTCGCGTCAATTAAACTTTCTTTACTGCAATGCCATGGTTTCTGTCAATTAATTTTGTTTGTGCAGCAGGCAGAAAGAACCCATTGGTGGATACCACAGACTCCACAACAAGAGCAGTTTGGGTAGAGTGAGTGTTAGCATTCCAAAACCAGACTGAAGTGAGGTGAAGTGGAAAGGAAATTGAGGGAGCAAAGCCAAATGACTCTTCCAAGAAGTGACCTTCTAATTGTCATATTAAATGGACACAAACAGTCAGTATCCTGCTGGATGTCTCTACTGTTTTATACTTTGATAGTTCACTCCTTGAAACTAGAAACTAGATATTACAGTGATTGTTTTTTCTTTGGAAGAGGGGATTAAAAACCACATTGGAAATCTGATAAAAGCTATCTACCTACACACAAATTTTGCGTATGATTTCAAGGACTGATTAATCCTTTGAAGCCCATGAATAGGCCTCAAAGGAATCCATGGATCCCAAACTAAGACTCTCCTCAGCAGGGCACGGTGGCTCACACCTATAATCCCAGCATTTTGGGAGGCCGAGGCAAGCAGATCACTTGAGCTCAAGAGTTCAAAACTAGCCTGGGCAATGTGGCGAAACCCTGTCTCTAAAAAAACACAAAAATTAGCCAGGCGTGGTGGTAGGTGCCTGTAGTCCCAGCTACTCAGGACGTTGAGTTGGGAGAATCTCTTGAGCAGGGGAGACAGAGGTTGCAGTGAGCTGAGATCTCAACACTGCACTCCAACCTGGGCAATAGAGTGAGACCCTGTTTCAAAAAAGAAAAAAAGGCCAGGCGTGGTGGCTCATGCCTGTAATCCGAGTACTTTGGGAAGCTGAGGCGGGTGGATCACAAGGTCAAGAAATTGAGACCATCCTGGCCAACAGGGTGAAGCCCTGTCTCTACTAAAAATACAAAAATTAGCTGGGCATGGTGCTGTGTGCCTGTAATCACAGCTACTTGGGAGGCTAAGGCAGGAGAATCATTTGAACCTGGGAGGCGGAGGTTGCAGTGAGCCGAGATCGCGCCATGCACTCCAGCCTGGTGACACAACTAGACTACGTCTCAAAAAAAAAAAATTAGCTGGGTGGGGTGTGGTGGCACATGCCTGTAAAACCAGCTACTCAAGAGGCTAAGGCAGAAATTGCTTGAACCTAGGAGGCAGAGGCTACAGTAAGCCGAGATCGTGCTGCTTCACTCCAGCCTGGGGGACGGAGCAAGACTCCATCTGAAAATGAATACATAAATAAAGCCCTCACTTTTCCATTAGTTGGTGAGAAAAGAAAAAATAGGCCAGGCGCGGTGGCTGATGCCTGTAATCCCAACACTTTGGGAGGCCGAGGCGGGCGGATCACCAGGTCAGGAGTTCAAGACCAGCTTGGCCAATATGGTGAAACCTCGTCTCTACTAAAAATACAAAAATTAGCCAGGCATGGTGGTGCGTGCCTGTAGTCCCAACTACTTGGGAGGGTGAGCCGGGAGAATTGCTTGAACCTAGGAGGTGGAGGTTGCAGTGAGACCAGATATCACCACTACACTCCAGCCTGGGCTACAGAGTGAGACTCTATCTCAAAAAATAAAATAAAATAAAACAATGTGTAGCCAATCAATAACTTATTTTATTTTAATGTAAATTATTATTGGTAAACAACTTAGGAACTACCTCTTCTTTTTTCCTTTAAAAACCCACTTGTAGAGGCTGGGTACAGTGGCTCACGCCTGTAATCCCAGCACTTTGGAAGGCCGAGGTGGGCAGATCATGAGGTCAGGAGTTTGAGACCAGCCTGACCAACATGGTTAAATCCCGTCTTTACTAAAAATACAAAACTTAGCCGAGTGTGGTGGCATGCCCTTGTAATCCGAGCTACTTGGGAGGCTGAGGCAGGAGAATTGCTGGTACCTGGGAGGCGGAGGTTGCAGTGAGCTGAGATTACACCACTGCACTGCAGCCTAGGCAACAGAGCGAGACTCCGTCTCATAAATAAATAAATAAATAAATAAATAAATAAATAAATAAATAAAACAAAACCCATTTGCAGGCTATGCGTTGTGGCTCATGCCTTTACTCCCAGCACTTTGGGAGGCAGGGGTGGGTGGATCACTTGAGGTCAGGAGTTCAAGACCAGCCTGGCCAGCATGGTGAAACTCCATCTGTACTAAAAAAAAATACAAAAAAGAGCCGGGCATCGTGGCATGCACATTTAGTCCCAGCTACTGGGGAGGCTGAGGCAGGAGAATTGCTTGAACCTGGGAGGCAGGTGTTGCAGTGACCTGAGCTGAGATCAAGCCACTGCACTCCAGCCTGAGCAAAAAAGCAAGACTCTGTCTCTAAAAAATAAAATACAATAAAAAGTTTAAAAAGCACTGACTTAAGAATTGCACAGGGAGGCCAATTTGAGCTGGCCTCCTGTCTCTTTGTTGGCTGACTCACAATAAAGCTTTTTTTTTTTTCTTCTCAAAAACCTAGTGCCATAGCATTTGACTTCTGTACCACCGGGCAGTGAGCTCCTTTTGCTTGGTAACAGTCACTGGTATCTTTAACTCTTGGGGGGCATGATTTCATAAATATCCATGAGCCCATTCAATCCAGAATATATTTAAGAACCCTCAAAACTGAACAATAAGAAAAAGAAAACCCCAATAGAAAAATGGACAAAAAGATTTGAGTGAAGGCCAGGAATAGTGGCTCATGATGTAATCCCAGCACTTTGTGAGGCCAAGGCGGGTGGATCACTTGAGCCAGGAGGTTGAGACCAGCCTGGCCAACGTAGTGAAACCCATCTCTACTAAAAATACAAAAATTAGCTGGGTGTGGTGGCATGGACCTGTAATCCCAGCTACTCAGGAGGCTGAGGTGGGAGGATTGCTTGAACCCAGGAGGCAGAGGCTGCAGTGAGCCGAGATCGCACCACTGCAATCCAGCTGGGGCAACAGAGCCAGACCTTGTCTCAAAAAAAATTTTTTTGACTCAAAATTTCACCAAAAGGCCAGGCACGGTGGCTCATGCCTGTAATCTCCACACTTCGGGAGGTTCACTTGAGCCCAGGAGTTGGAGACCAGCCTGGGCAACATAGAGACCCCTTCTCTAGAAAAAAAATATATATTTTTTATATTTTTATATTTTATATTATAAAAATATATATTTATATATATTCTCTACAAAAATATATATAAATATATATAAATATATATATTCTCTACAAAAAAAATATACAAAAAATATAAATAAAAAAATTAGCCAGTTGCTCCTACCTGTGCCTGTCATCCCAGCTCCAGGCATGTAGGCTGAGGTGGGAGGATCGCTTGAGCCCAGGAGTTCACGGTTGCAGTGAGCCATGATCACACTACTGCTCTCCAGCCTTCCAGCCTGGGTGACAGAGCAAGACCTTGTCTCAATAAAAAATAAGATAAAAAACACCACATAGGCTGGGCATGGTGGCTCACGCCTGTAATCCCAGCACTTTGGAGGCTGAGGTGGGTGGATCACCTGAGGTCAGGAGTTCAAGACCAGCCTGATCAACATGGAGAAACCCTGTCTCTACTAAAAATACAAAGTTAGCCAGGTGTGGTGGCACATGCCTGTAATCCTAGCTACTTGGGAGGCTGAGGCAGCAGAATCGCTTGAACCCAGGAGGCGGAGATTGCAGTGGGCCAAGATCGCGCCATTGCACTCCAGCCTGGGCAACAAGAGCGAAACCATCTCAAAAAAACAACAACAACAACAAAAACCACCACATAAACAGAAAGCCCCTCTTGTGCCACTCTCTGTCGCCCCTTCATAACCCCCTTCCAGGCTCACCCTCCCGTACCCACTCACCTGGCTGACTGACTGGCATGGCTGGAAAGGACTACCACCACCTTAGGAGGAGTTGGAGGCTGTAGGCTGGGGGCACTGGACTCTTAGTGGTCTCATACTCCTCAGCAAGCTCCTGTTTGATCTGTCTGGTGCTTAGGGGTAACCCTGAGGCAGGGGCCACAGGTGGTGGTGGCAGAGATGACACCTGAGGGCTCACAAGTGACAGGTCCCACAGTGGGCAAGACTGGTTTGACCCGATGGGGTCCCCTTCAGATGGAGAGAGGCACCCTGGCTTGTATCTGTGTGGCCTGTCTTCTAGTCCCTGGGGATGCAGCTTTCTCTCCCTATGGCGTGGGCCCAGGCGAGTAGGCTGTTTTGTAGTCTGCTGGTGAGGAAGCCACAATAGCAATGGCAGTGGAAAGGGCAGCCAAGGAGGTGGTGACCGTAGGCACCAGCAGGAAGAGGTAGGGGCCCTGGGAGGTGTGTGAAAGTGGGTAGGACCCTTGAGAGGAGGAAAAAAAGAGAAGAAGAGACCGTGGGAGGTAGGGGGCAATTGGGGCCTGCTTGGCTGTAGGACATCTGGCTGTGAGATGGGGCCAGGTATGCTGGCCCTGATGGATAGAGCCAAAGAGACCCCAGGGAGGAACACATGGCATAAGAGTGTGCATTGGCCGGGCGCTGTGGCTCACGCCTGTAATCCCAGCACTTTGGTAGGCCGAGGCAGGTGGATCACCTGAGGTCAGGAGTTCATGACCAGCCTGGCCAACATGGTGAAACCCTGTCTTTACTAAAAATACAAAAATTAGCCACTTATGGTGGTGAGCGCCTGTAATCCCAGGAACTTGGGAGGCTGAGGCAGAAGAATCACTTGAACCTAGGAGGCAGAGGTTGCAGTGAGCCAAGATAGTGCCACTACTGCACTCCAACCTGGGTGACAAAAGTGAAACTCCGTCTCAAAAAAAAAAAAAAAAAAAAGAGTGTGCATGGTATGGGGCTATGTGGCTACAGCTCTCCAGGTGGTGGGGAAATGCTCCAGGTGGAGGGGGCCTGGAGCTTCCACAGTGTTGCTGCTGGTGGTGATGGTGATGTGTTGGGGGTGATGTGGGCAGTGGATTGGCCTCCAGGAGAAGGAGGAAGCCTAAGAGGCCGCCACAGGAGGTTGTGGGGGACCCTGGCTCTACACAGCCTGGGCTGGAAGAGAAGATTGAGTATACTTGGGGGCCTGATTGGGGACAGAGAGGCTTGTTGCAAGAGGGAAGGAGTGGGGATACCTGGGCAATGCCTGGGAAGCAGGGTACTGGGAGGCAGAGGAGGAGGAGGAAGAACTGGAAGAGGAGGCTGCCGCAGAGCTGCTACTAGAGCATGAGTAAAGAAACCTCAGTGGGGCGGAAGAAGAGGAAGCAGGGAGCCGGGGCAGAGGGTGGGCTGTGGGAGCTAGAGTCAAGTCGTTCTCTGGGCCAGGAGGAAACCCTCCCATTCCCTGCCCCGTGGCACAGGGAGAGGACAGATGCTCTCTCCCTGTGCCACAGGGCAGGGGCCCCGGGCCTGGAGGAGAAGCTAATGTGCTGGGGTTTTTTGTTTGTTTTGCTTTCTGTGAGACAGATTCTAGATTTGTATCTCAGGCTGGAGTGCGGTGGCACTATCTTGGCTCACTGCAGCCTCTGCCTCCTGAGTTCAAGCGATTCTCCTGCCTCAGCCTCCCGAGTAGCTGGGGCTACGAATGCGCACCACCACGCCCGACTATTTTTATATTTTTAGTAGAGACGGGGTTTCACCATGTTGGCCAGGCTGGTCTCGAACTGCTGACCTCAAGTGATCCTCCTGTGTTGTCCTCCCAAACTGCTGGGACTACAGTCATGAGCCACCATGCCCAGCTGCTGATGCATTGTTGAGGGGGCTTGGGCAGATGGGGGAGGCAGGTTTGGTGCCACATGGGGGAAGGTGGTTGGTGGTGAAGCAGAGGATAGGTTCCCATCACCCATTGGAGTGTTAGACATCTTTGTAGGGGGAGCACCACCAACCCGAGCTTGATACTGAAATGGGGGTAGTGCATGCGGGGTGCTGCTTATTCCTACCAGGGGCCCCAGTGGATGAGGCAGCCCCTAACCCCTTGGGACCCACTGGGGGTCCAGATACAACTCCCCCACCAGCCACCTCACCAGAGTAGAGCTGTGAGTGAGGGTGAGGGACCCCAGGAGGGGTCAAGGCTGGTCTTGAACTTCTGGGCTCAAGCGATCCTCCCGCTTCGGCCTCCCAAAGTGTTAGGATTACAGGCATGAGCCACCGTACCCGGCCAGTAATTTTACTTTTGATAAACCCCAAACAGGAAACAATTCAAATGGCTATCAAAAGATGAATGAATAAATTGTGATATATTCATAAATG